>NC_000001.11:121923582-121926655 GCF_000001405.40 Homo sapiens
ATCTCCCAGAAGTTTCTGAAATGCTTCTCTCTAGTTTTTATGTGAAGATATTTCCTTTTCCACCGCAGGCCTGAAAGCGCTCCAAATGTCCACTTGGAGGCTCTACGAAAAGAATGTTTCAAAACTGCTCTATGAAAAGCAATGTTATACTCTGGGAGTTGAACACAAGCCTCACAAAGTAGTTTCTGAGAATGCTTCTGTTTACTTTTTACGTGAGGATATTCCCGTTTCCAAAGCAGTCTTCACAGAGTTCCACCTATCCATTTGCAGATGCTAGCAAAAGAGAGTTTCAAAACTGCTCCATCAAAAGGAATGTTCAACTCTGTGAGTTGCATGCAATCATCACAGAGAAGTTTCTGAGAAGGCTTCTGTCTAGATTTTATGTGAAGATATGGCCGTTTCGAACGAAGGCCACAAAGTGCTCCCAATATCCACTTGCAGGTCCTCCAAAAAGAGTGTTTCAAACGTGAACTACCAAAGGAAGGCTCAACTCTGGACTTTGAATGCCAACGTCAGAAGGATGTTTCTGCGAAAGCTTCTGTTTAGTTAGGTGACGTTATCCCGTTTCCAACGAAATCCTCAGAGAGGTCCAAATATCCACCTGCGGAGTCTACAAAAAGTGTGTTTCAAAACTGCTCCACCCAAAGGAATGTTCAGCTCTGTGAGTTGAACTCAATCATCCCAAAGTATTTTCTGAGAATGCTTCTGTCCAGTTTTTACATGAAGCTGTTTCCTTTACTACTGTAGGCCTCAAAGCGTTCCAAACCTCCACTTGCAGATACTACGAAAAGAGCGTTTCGGCCGGGCGCGGTGGCTCACGCCTGTAATCCCAGCACTTTGGGAGGCCGAGGCGGGCGGATCACGAGGTCAGGAGATCGAGACCATCCCGGCTAAAACGGTGAAACCCCGTCTCTACTAAAAATACAAAAAATTAGCCGGGCGTAGTGGCGGGCGCCTGTAGTCCCAGCTACTTGGGAGGCTGAGGCAGGAGAATGGCGTGAACCCGGGAGGCGGAGCTTGCAGTGAGCCGAGATGCCGCCACTGCACTCCAGCCTGGGCGACAGAGCGAGACTCCGTCTCAAAAAAAAAAAAAAAAAAAAAAAAAAAAAAAAGAAAAGAGCGTTTCAACCTGAACTCACAAGGGAAGGTTCAACTCTGTCAGTTGAATGCCAACATCACCAAGAACTTCTGAGAATGTTCCTCTTCAGTTATGTGAGGTTTATCCCGTTTCCAACGAAATTCTCAGAGAAGTCCAAAAATCCACTTGCATATTCCACAAAAGGTGTGTTTGGAAAAAGCGCCATCAAAAGATATGCTCAGCTCTGTGAGTTAAACTCAATCATCGCAAACAATTTTCTGAGAATGATTCCGTCTTGTTTTTAGATGAAGTTCTTTCCTTTACTACGATAGGCCTCAAGGAGGTCCAAATCTCCACTTGCAGATTCTGCAGAAGGAGTGTTTCAAACCTTAACTGTCAGAGAAAGTTTCAACACTGTGAGTTGAAAGCAAGCATCACGAAGAAGGTTCTGAGAATGCTTCTGTTTATGTAGGGGACTTTTCTCCCGTATCCAACGAAATCCTCAGAGCGGTCCAAATCTCCACTTGCAGATTCTACACAAAGTGTGTTTGGAAACTGCTCCACCCAAAGGTATGTTCAGCTCTGTGAGTGAACTCATGGTCACAAAGCGTTTCCTGGGAATGCTCCTGTCTCGCTTTCATGTGCAGTTATATCCTCTACTGCCATAGGCCTCAAAGCGGTCCAAATCACCCCTTTCAGATTCTACCAAAAGTGTGTTTCAAAACGGCCCCATCAAAGGGGATGTTCAACTCGGTGACTTGAATGCAATCATCAGAAAGCAGGTTCTGAGAATGCTTCCATGTAGGTTTGATGAGAAGATACTTCCTTTTCCACCCCAGGCCTCGAAGCCCTCCAAATGTCCCCTTGCAGATGCTAGAAAGAGGGGGTTTCAAAGCTGCTCTATCAAAAGGAAAGTACAACTCTGTGAGTTGAATGCAAACATCACAAGGAAGTTCCTGAGCATGCTTCCGTTTAGCTTTTACGGGAAGATTATCCCTTTTCCATCGAAATGTTCAAAGAGGTCCACATATCCGCTTGCAGATTCCACACAAAGAGTGTTTCCAAACTGCTGCATCCAAAGGAATCCTCAGCTCCGTGAGTTGAATGCAATCATCACCAAGAAGTTTCTGACAATGCTTCTCTCTAGTTTTTATGTGAAGATATTTCCTTTTCCACCGCAGGCCTGAAAGTGCTCCAAATGTCCACTTGGAGGCTCTACGAAAAGAATGTTTCAAAACTGCTCTATGAAAAGCAATGTTATACTCTGGGAGTTGAACACAAGCCTCACAAAGGAGTTTCTGAGAATGCTTCTGTTTACTTTTTACGTGAGGATATTCCCGTTTCCAAAGAAGTCTTCACAGAGTTCCACCTATCCATTTGCAGATGCTAGCAAAAGAGAGTTTCAAAACTGCTCCATCAAAAGGAATGTTCAACTCTGTGAGTTGCATGCAATCATCACAGAGAAGTTTCTGAGAAGGCTTCTGTCTAGATTTTATGTGAAGATATGGCCGTTTCGAACGAAGGCCACAAAGCGCTCCCAATATCCACTTGCAGGTCCTCCAAAAAGAGTGTTTCAAACGTGAACTACCAAAGGAAGGCTCAACTCTGGACTTTGAATGCCAACGTCAGAAGGATGTTTCTGCGAAAGCTTCTGTTTAGTTAGGTGACGTTATCCCGTTTCCAACGAAATCCTCGGAGAGGTCCAAATATCCACCTGCAGAGTCTACAAAAAGTGTGTTTCCAAACTGCTCCACCCAAAGAATGTTCAGCTCTGTGAGTTGAACTCATCATCCAAAGTATTTTCCGAGAATGCTTCTGTCCAGTTTTACATGAAGCTGTTTCCTTACTACGTAGCCTCAAGCGTCCAACCTCACTTGCGAAACTACGAAAAGACGTTTCAACTGAACTCACAGGGAGGTTCACTCTGTCAGTTGATGTCACATCACAAAGACTCCTGAAAATGTCCTCTCAGTTATGGTGAGGTAATCCGGTTTC
>NC_000001.11:121926755-121930672 GCF_000001405.40 Homo sapiens
AGAAGTCCAAAATCCCCGGATTTTCCACAAAAGGTTTTTGGAAAATGGCCATCAAAAGATATTCTCCGCTCTGGGAGTTAACTCAATCATCGCAAACAATTTTCTAAGAATGCTTCCGTCTTGTTTTTAGATGAAGTTCTTTCCTTTACTACGATAGGCCTCAAGGAGGTCCAAATCTCCACTTGCAGATTCTGCAGAAGGAGTGTTTCAAACCTGAACTGTCAGAGAAAGGTTCAACACTGTGAGTTGAATGCAAGCATCACGAAGAAGGTTCTGAGAATGCTTCTGTTTATGTAGGGGACTTTTCTCCCGTATCCAACGAAATCCTCAGAGCGGTCCAAATCTCCACTTGCAGATTCTACACAAAGTGTGTTTGGAAACTGCTCCACCCAAAGGTATGTTCAGCTCTGTGAGTTGAACTCAATGGTCACAAAGCGTTTCCTGGGAATGCTCCTGTCTCGCTTTCATGTGCAGTTATATCCTCTACTGCCATAGGCCTCAAAGCGGTCCAAATCTCCCCTTTCAGATTCTACCAAAAGTGTGTTTCCAAACGGCCCCATCAAAGGGGATGTTCAACTCGGTGACTTGAATGCAATCATCAGAAAGCAGGTTCTGAGAATGCTTCCATGTAGGTTTGATGAGAAGATACTTCCTTTTCCACCCCAGGCCTCGAAGCCCTCCAAATGTCCCCTTGCAGATGCTAGAAAGAGGGAGTTTCAAAGCTGCTCTATCAAAAGGAAAGTACAACTCTGTGAGTTGAATGCAAACATCACAAGGAAGTTCCTGAGCATGCTTCCGTTTAGCTTTTACGGGAAGATTATCCCTTTTCCATCGAAATGTTCAAAGAGGTCCACATATCCGCTTGCAGATTCCACACAAAGAGTGTTTCCAAACTGCTGCATCAAAAGGAATCCTCAGCTCCGTGAGTTGAATGCAATCATCACCAAGAAGTTTCTGACAATGCTTCTCTCTAGTTTTTATGTGAAGATATTTCCTTTTCCACCGCAGGCCTGAAAGCGCTCCAAATGTCCACTTGGAGGCTCTACGAAAAGAATGTTTCAAAACTGCTCTATGAAAAGCAATGTTATACTCTGGGAGTTGAACACAAGCCTCACAAAGGAGTTTCTGAGAATGCTTCTGTTTACTTTTTACGTGAGGATATTCCCGTTTCCAAAGAAGTCTTCACAGAGTTCCACCTATCCATTTGCAGATGCTAGCAAAAGAGAGTTTCAAAACTGCTCCATCAAAAGGAATGTTTAACTCTGTGAGTCGCATGCAATCATCACAGAGAAGTTTCTGAGAAGGCTTCTGTCTAGATTTTATGTGAAGATATGGCCGTTTCGAACGAAGGCCACAAAGTGCTCCAAATATCCACTTGCAGGTCCTCCAAAAAGAGTGTTTCAAACGTGAACTACCAAAGGAAGGCTCAACTCTGGACTTTGAATGCCAACGTCAGAAGGATGTTTCTGCGAAAACTTCTGTTTAGTTAGGTGACGTTATCCCGTCTCCAACGAAATCCTCAGAGAGGTCCAAATATCCACCTGCAGAGTCTACAAAAAGTGTGTTTCAAAACTGCTCCACCCAAAGGAATGTTCAGCTCTGTGAGTTGAACTCAATCATCCCAAAGTATTTTCTGAGAATTCTTCTGTCCAGTTTTTACATGAAGCTGTTTCCTTTACAACCGTAGGCCTCAAAGCGTTCCAAACCTCCACTTACAGATACTACGAAAAGAGCGTTTCAACCTGAACTCACAAGGGAAGGTTCAACTCTGTCAGTTGAATGCCAACATCACCAAGAAGTTCTGAGAATGTTCCTCTTCAGTTATGTGAGGTTTATCCCGTTTCCAACGAAATTCTCAGAGAAGTCCCAAAATCCCTGGGATTTCCCCAAAAGGGTGTTGGAAATGGGCTTCAAAAGGAAGCTTCGCTCTGGATTAAAACCAATCATTGCAAAGATTTTCTGGGATGCTTCGTCTCTTTTTAGATGAAGTTCTTTCTTTCAATACGTTAGCCTCAAGGAAGTTCAAATTTCAACTTGCAGATTCTGCAGAAGGAGTGTTTCTAACNTGAACTGTCAGAGAAAGGTCAAACACTGTGAGTTGAATGCAAGCATCACGAAGAAGGGTCTGAGAATGCTTCTGTTTACATAGGTGACTTTTCTCCCGTATCCAACGAAATCCTCAGAGCGGTCCAAATCTCCACTTGAAGATTCTACACAAAGTGTGTTTGGAAACTGCTCCACCCAAAGGAATGTTCAGCTCTGTGAGTTGAACTCAATGGTCACAAAGCGTTTCCTGGGAATGCTCCTGTCTCGCTTTTATGTGCAGTTATATCCTCTACTGCCATAGGCCTCAAAGCGGTCCAAATCTCCCCTTTCAGATTCTACCAAAAGTGTGTTTCCAAACGGCCCCATCAAAGGGGATGTTCAACTCGGTGACTTGAATGCAATCATCACAAAGCAGCTTCTGAGAATGCTTCCATGTAGCTTTGATGAGAAGATATTTCCTTTTCCACCCCAGGCCTCGAAGCCCTCCAAATGTCCCCTTGCAGATGCTAGAAAGAGGGGGTTTCAAAGCTGCTCTATCAAAAGGAAAGTACAACTCTGTGAGTTGAATGCAAACATCACAAGGAAGTTCCTGAGCATGCTTCCGTTTAGCTTTTACGGGAAGATTATCCCTTTTCCATCGAAATGTTCAAAGAGGTCCACATATCCGCTTGCAGATTCCACCGAAAGAGTGTTTCCAAACTGCTGCATCCAAAGGAATCCTCAGCTCCGTGAGTTGAATGCAATCATCACCAAGAAGTTTCTGACAATGCTTCTCTCTAGTTTTTATGTGAAGATATTTCCTTTTCCACCGCAGGCCTGAAAGCGCTCCAAATGTCCACTTGGAGGCTCTACGAAAAGAATGTTTCAAAACTGCTCTATGAAAAGCAATGTTATACTCTGGGAGTTGAACACAAGCCTCACAAAGGAGTTTCTGAGAATGCTTCTGTTTACTTTTTACGTGAGGATATTCCCGTTTCCAAAGAAGTCTTCACAGAGTTCCACCTATCCATTTGCAGATGCTAGCAAAAGAGAGTTTCAAAACTGCTCCATCAAAAGGAATGTTCAACTCTGTGAGTTGCATGCAATCATCACAGAGAAGTTTCTGAGAAGGCTTCTGTCTAGATTTTATGTGAAGATATGGCCGTTTCGAACGAAGGCCACAAAGCGCTCCCAATATCCACTTGCAGGTCCTCCAAAAAGAGTGTTTCAAAGGTGAACTACCAAAGGAAGGCTCAAATCTGGACTTTGAATGCCATCGTCAGAAGGATGTTTCTGCGAAAGCTTCTGTTTAGTTAGGTGACGTTATCCCGTTTCCAACGAAATCCTCGGAGAGGTCCAAATATCCACCTGCAGAGTCTACAAAAAGTGTGTTTCAAAACTGCTCCACCCAAAGGAATGTTCAGCTCTGTGAGTTCAACTCAATCATCCCAAAGTATTTTCTGAGAATGCTTCTGTCCAGTTTTTACATGAAGCTGTTTCCTTTACTACCGTAGGCCTCAAAGCATTCCAAACCTCCACTTGCAGATACTACGAAAAGAGCGTTTCAACCTGAACTCACAAGGGAGGGTTCAACTCTGTCAGTTGAATGTCAACATCACCAAGAACTTCTGAGAATGTTCCTCTTCAGTTATGTGAGGTTTATCCCGTTTCCAACGAAATTCTCAGAGAAGTCCCAAAATCCACTTGCATATTCCACAAAAGGTGTGTTTGGAAATTGTGCCATCAAAAGATATGCTCAGCTCTGTGAGTTAAACTCAATCATTGCAAAGAATTTTCTGAGAATGCTTCCGTCTTGTTTTTAGATGAAGTTCTTTCCTTTACTACGATAGGCCTCAAAGAGGTCCAAATCTCCACTTGCAGATTCTACAGAA
>NC_000001.11:121930772-121935105 GCF_000001405.40 Homo sapiens
CGAGACCTGTGATCTACCAGTGTGTTTGGAAACTGCTCCATCCAAAGGAATGTTCAGCTCTGTGAGTTGAACTCAAGCATCACAATGTGTTTCCTGGGAATGCTCCTGTCTCGTTTTTATGTGCAGTTATATCCTCTACTGCCATAGGCCTCAAAACGGTACAAATCTCCCCTTTCAGATTCTACCAAAAGTGTGTTTCCAAACGGCTCCATCAAAGGGAATGTTCAACTCGGTGACTTGAATGCAATCATCACAAAGCAGCTTCTGAGAATGCTTCCATGTAGCTTTGATGAGAAGATATTTCCTTTTCCTCCCCAGGCCTCGAAGCCCTCCAAATGTCCCCTTGCAGATGCTAGAAAGAGGGGGTTTCAAAGTAGCTCTATCCAAAGGAAAGTACATCTCTGTGAGTTGAATACAAACGTCACAAGGAAGTTCCTGAGCATGGTTCCGTTTAGCTTTTAAGGGAAGATTATTCCATTTCCATCGAAATGTTCAAAGAGGTCCGCATATCCGCTTGCAGATTCCACCGAAAGAGTGTTTCCAAACTGCTGCATCAAAAGGAATCCTCAGCTCCGTGAGTTGAATGCAATCATCACCAAGAAGTTTCTGACAATGCTTCTCTCTAGTTTTTATGTGAAGATATTTCCTTTTCCACCACAGGCCTGAAAGCGCTCCAAATGTCCACTTGGAGGCTCTACGAAAAGAATGTTTCAAAACTGCTCTATGAAAAGCAATATTATACTCTGCGAGTTGAACACAAGCCTCACAAAGGAGTTTCTGAGAATGCTTCTGTTTACTTTTTACGTGAGGATATTCCCGTTTCCAAAGAAGTCTTCACAGAGTTCCACCTACCCATTTGCAGATGCTAGCAAAAGAGAGTTTCAAAACTGCTCTATCAAAAGGAATGTTCAACTCTGTGAGTTGCATGCAATCATCACAGAGAAGTTTCTGAGAAGGCTTCTGTCTAGATTTTATGTGAAGATATAGCCGTTTCGAACGAAGGCCACAAAGTGCTCCAAATATCCACTTGCAGGTCCTCCAAAAAGAGTGTTTCAAACGTGAACTACCAAAGGAAGGCTCAACTCTGGACTTTGAATGCCAACGTCAGAAAGATGTTTCTGCGAAAGCTTCTGTTTAGTTAGGTGACGTTATCCCGCTTCCAACGAAATCCTCAGAGAGGTCCAAATATCCACCTGCAGAGTCTCCAAAAGTGTGTTTCTAAACTGCTCCACCCAAAGGAATGTTCAGCTCTGTGAGTTGAACTCAATCATCCCAAAGTATTTTCTGAGAATGCTTCTGTCCAGTTTTTACATGAAGCTGTTTCGTTTACTACCATAGGCCTCAAAGCATTCCAAATCTCCACTTGAAGATAGTACGAAAAGAGCGTTTCAACCTGAACTCACAAGGGAAGGTTCAACTCTGTCAGTTGAATGCCAACATCACAAAGAAGTTCTGAGAGTGTTCCTCTTCAGTTATGTGAGGTTTATCCCGTTTCCAACGAAATTCTCTGAGAAGTCCCAAAATCCACTTGCATATTCTACAAAAGGTGTGTTTTGAAAATGCGCCATCAAAAGATATGCTCAGCTCTGTGAGTTAAACTCAATCATCGCAAAGAATTTTCTGAGAATGCTTCTGTCTTGTTTTTAGATGAAGGTCTTTCCTTTACTACGAAAGGCCTCAAAGAGTTCCAAATCTCCACTTGCAGATTCTGCAGGAGGAGTGTTTCAAACCTGAACTGTCAGAGAAAGGTTCAACACTGTGAGTTGAATGCAAGCATCACGAAGAAGGTTCTGAGAATGCTTCTGTTTGTGTAGGTGACTTCTCTCCCGTATCCAACGAAATCCTCATAGCGGTCCAAATCTCCACTTGCAGATTCTACACAAAGTGTGTTTGGAAACTGCTCCATCCAAAGGAATGTTCAGCTCTGTGAGTTGAACTCAAGCATCACAATGTGTTTCCTGGGAATGCTCCTGTCTCGTTTTTATGTGCAGTTATATCCTCTACTGCCATAGGCCTCAAAACGGTACAAATCTCCCCTTTCAGATTCTACCAAAAGTGTGTTTCCAAACGGCTCCATCAAAGGGAATGTTCAACTCGGTGACTTGAATGCAATCATCACAAAGCAGCTTCTGAGAATGCTTCCATGTAGCTTTGATGAGAAGATATTTCCTTTTCCTCCCCAGGCCTCGAAGCCCTCCAAATGTCCCCTTGCAGATGCTAGAAAGAGGGGGTTTCAAAGTAGCTCTATCCAAAGGAAAGTACATCTCTGTGAGTTGAATACAAACGTCACAAGGAAGTTCCTGAGCATGGTTCCGTTTAGCTTTTAAGGGAAGATTATTCCATTTCCATCGAAATGTTCAAAGAGGTCCGCATATCCGCTTGCAGATTCCACCGAAAGAGTGTTTCCAAACTGCTGCATCAAAAGGAATCCTCAGCTCCGTGAGTTGAATGCAATCATCACCAAGAAGTTTCTGACAATGCTTCTCTCTAGTTTTTATGTGAAGATATTTCCTTTTCCACCACAGGCCTGAAAGCGCTCCAAATGTCCACTTGGAGGCTCTATGAAAAGAATGTTTCAAAACTGCTCTATGAAAAGCAATGTTATACTCTGGGAGTTGAAGACAAGCCTCACAAAGGAGTTTCTGAGAATGCTTCGGTTTACTTTCTACGTGAGGATATTCCCGTTTCCAAAGAAGTCTTCACAGAGTTTTACCTATCCATTTGCAGATGCTATCAAAAGAGAGTTTCAAAACTGCTCTATCAAAAGGAATGTCCAACTCTGTGAGTTGCGTGCAATCATCACAGAGAAGTTTCTGAGAAGGCTTCTGTCTAGATTTTATGTGAAGATATAGCCGTTTCGAACGAAGGCCAAAAAGTGCTCCAAATAGCCACTTGCAGGTCCTCCAAAAGAGTGTTTCAAACGTGAACAACCAAAGGAAGGCTCAACTCTGGACTTTGAATGCCAATGTGAGAGAGATTTTTCTGCAAAAGCTTCTGTTTAGTTAGGTGACGTTATCCGCTTCCAACGAAATCCTCAGAGAGGTCCAAATATCCACCTGCAGAGTCTACAAAAAGTGTGTTTCAGAACTGCTCCACCCAAAGGAATGTTCAGCTCTGTGAGTTGAACTCAATCATCCCAAAGTATTTTCTGAGAATGCTTCTGTCCAGTTTTTACATGAAGCTGTTTCCTTTACTACCGTAGGCCTCAAAGCGTTCCAAATCTCCACTTGCAGATACTACGAAAAGAGAGTTTCAACCTGATCTCACAAGGGAAGGTTCAACTCTGTCAGTTGAATGCCAACATCACCAAGAAGTTCTGAGAATGTTCCTCTTCAGTTAAGTGAGGTTTATCCCGTTTCCAACGAAATTCTCAGAGAAGTCCCAAAATCCACTTGCCTATTCTACAAAAGGTGTGCTTTGAAAATGAGCCATCAAAAGATATGCTCAGCTCTGTGAGTTAAACTCAATCATCGCAAAGAATTTTCTGAGAATGCTTCTGTCTTCTTTTTAGATGAAGGTCTTTCCTTTACTACGACAGGCCTCAAAGAGGTCCAAATCTCCACTTGCAGATTCTGCAGAAGGAGTGTTTCAAACCTGAACTATCAGAGAAAGGTTCAACACTGTGAGTTGAATGCAAGCATCACGAAGATGGTTCTGAGAATGCTTCTGTTTACGTAGTTGAGTTCTCTCCCGTATCCAACGAAATCCTCAGAGCGGTCCGAATCTCCACTTGCAGATTCTACAAAAAGTGTGTTTGGAAACTGCTCCATCCAAAGGAATGTTCAGCTCTGTGAGTTGATCTCCATCGTCACAAAGTGTTTCCTGGGAATGCCACTGTCTCGTTTTTATGTGCAGTTATGTCCTCTACTGCCATAGGCCTCAAAGCGGTCCAAATCTCCCCTTTCAGATTCTACCAAAAGTGTGTTTCCAAACGGCTCCTTCAAAGGGAAAGTTCAACTCGGTGACTTGAATGCAATCATCACAAAGCAGCTTCTGAGAATGCTTCCATGTAGCTTTGATGAGAAGATATTTCCATTTCCACCCCGGGCCTCGAAGCCCTCCAATGTCCCCTTGCAGATGCTAGAAAGAGAGGGTTTCAAGCTGCTCTATCAAAAGGAAGTACAACTCTGCGAGTGAATGCAACATCACAAAGAGTTCCTGAGCATGCTTCCGTTAACTTTTAATGGAAGATATCCCTTTTCATCGAAATGTCAAGAAGTCCCATATCCGCTTGCAGATTCACCGAAGAATGTTCCAAATGGTGCTTCAAAGAATCTTCGCCCCGTGATTAAGGCATCATCTCCAAAAGTTCTGAAATGGCTCTCCCAGTTTT
>NC_000001.11:121935205-121940535 GCF_000001405.40 Homo sapiens
TTATCCGGTTCCACGAATTTTCAGAGAGTCCCAAAATCACTTGCTATTCTACAAAAGTGGGCTTGAAAATGACCATCAAAAGATATGCTCAGCTCGGTGAGTTAACTCAATCATCGCAAGAATTTTCTGAGATGCTTCTGTCTTCTTTTTAGATGAAGGTCTTTCCTTTACTACGACAGGCCTCAAAGAGTCCAAATCTCCACTGCAGATTCTGCAGAAGGAGTGTTTCAAACCTGAACTATCAGAGAAAGGTTCAACACTGTGAGTTGAATGCAAGCATCACGAAGATGGTTCTGAGAATGCTTCTGTTTACGTAGTTGAGTTCTCTCCCGTATCCAACGAAATCCTCAGAGCGGTCCGAATCTCCACTTGCAGATTCTACAAAAAGTGTGTTTGGAAACTGCTCCATCCAAAGGAATGTTCAGCTCTGTGAGTTGATCTCCATCGTCACAAAGTGTTTCCTGGGAATGCCACTGTCTCGTTTTTATGTGCAGTTATGTCCTCTACTGCCATAGGCCTCAAAGCGGTCCAAATCTCCCCTTTCAGATTCTACCAAAAGTGTGTTTCCAAACGGCTCCTTCAAAGGGAAAGTTCAACTCGGTGACTTGAATGCAATCATCACAAAGCAGCTTCTGAGAATGCTTCCATGTAGCTTTGATGAGAAGATATTTCCATTTCCACCCCGGGCCTCGAAGCCCTCCAAATGTCCCCTTGCAGATGCTAGAAAGAGAGGGTTTCAAAGCTGCTCTATCAAAAGGAAAGTACAACTCTGCGAGTTGAATGCAAACATCACAAAGAAGTTCCTGAGCATGCTTCCGTTTAGCTTTTATGGGAAGATTATCCCTTTTCCATCGAAATGTTCAAAGAGGTCCACATATCCGCTTGCAGATTCCACCGAAAGAGTGTTTCCAAACTGCTGCATCAAAAGGAATCCTCAGCTCCGTGAGTTGAATGCAATCATCACCAAGAAGTTTCTGACAATGCTTCTCTCTAGTTTTTATGTGAAGATATTTCCTTTTCCACCACAGGCCTGAAAGCGCTCCAAATGTCCACTTGGAGGCTCTACGAAAAGAATGTTTCAAAACTGCTCTATGAAAAGCAATGTTATACTCTGGGAGTTGAACACAAGTCTCACAAAGGAGTTTCTGAGAATGCTTCTGTTTACTTTTTACGTGAGGATATTCCCGTTTCCAAAGAAGTCTTCACAGAGTTCCACCTACCCATTTGCAGATGCTAGCAAAAGAGAGTTTCAAAACTGCTCTATCAAAAGGAATGTTCAACTCTGTGAGTTGCATGCAATCATCACAGAGAAGTTTCTGAGAAGGCTTCTGTCTAGATTTTATGTGAAGATATAGCCGTTTCGAACGAAGGCCACAAAGTGCTCCAAATATCCACTTGCAGGTCCTCCAAAAAGAGTGTTTCAAACGTGAACTACCAAAGGAAGGCTCAACTCTGGACTTTGAATGCCAACGTCAGAAAGATGTTTCTGCGAAAGCTTCTGTTTAGTTAGGTGACGTTATCCCGCTTCCAACGAAATCCTCAGAGAGGTCCAAATATTCACCTGCAGAGTCTCCAAAATTGTGTTTCAAAACTGCTCCACCCAAAGGAATGTTCAGCTCTGTGAGTTGAACTCAATCATCCCAAAGTATTTTCTGAGAATGCTTCTGTCCAGTTTTTACATGAAGCTGTTTCGTTTACTACCATAGGCCTCAAAGCATTCCAAATCTCCACTTGAAGATAGTACGAAAAGAGGGTTTCAACCTGAACTCACAAGGGAAGTTTCAACTCTGTCAGTTGAATGCCAACATCACAAAGAAGTTCTGAGAGTGTTCCTCTTCAGTTATGTGAGGTTTATCGCGTTTCCAACGAAATTCTCTGAGAAGTCCCAAAATCCACTTGCATATTCTACAAAAAGTGTGTTTTGAAAATGCGCCATCAAAAGATATGCTCAGCTCTGTGAGTTAAACTCAATCATCGTAAAGAATTTTCTGAGAATGCTTCTGTCTTGTTTTTAGATGAAGGTCTTTCCTTTACTACGATAGGCCTCAAAGAGTTCCAAATCTCCACTTGCAGATTCTGCAGGAGGAGTGTTTCAAACCTGAAATGTCAGAGAAAGGTTCAACACTGTGAGTTGAATGCAAGCATCACGAAGAAGGTTCTGAGAATGCTTCTGTTTGTGTAGGTGACTTCTCTCCCGTATCCAACGAAATCCTCAGAGCGGTCCAAATCTCCACTTGCAGATTCTACACAAAGTGTGTTTGGAAACTGCTCCATCCAAAGGAATGTTCAGCTCTGTGAGTTGAACTCAAGCATCACAATGTGTTTCCTGGGAATGCTCCTGTCTCGTTTTTATGTGCAGTTATATCCTCTACTGCCATAGGCCTCAAAACGGTACAAATCTCCCCTTTCAGATTCTACCAAAAGTGTGTTTCCAAACGGCTCCATCAAAGGGAATGTTCAACTCGGTGACTTGAATGCAATCATCACAAAGCAGCTTCTGAGAATGCTTCCATGTAGCTTTGATGAGAAGATATTTCCTTTTCCTCCCCAGGCCTCGAAGCCCTCCAAATGTCCCCTTGCAGATGCTAGAAAGAGGGGGTTTCAAAGTAGCTCTATCAAAAGGAAAGTATAGCTCTGTGAGTTGAATACAAACGTCACAAGGAAGTTCCTGAGCATGGTTCCGTTTAGCTTTTACGGGAAGATTATTCCATTTCCATCGAAATGTTCAAAGAGGTCCGCATATCCGCTTGCAGATTCCACCGAAAGAGTGTTTCCAAACTGCTGCATCAAAAGGAATCCTCAGCTCCGTGAGTTGAATGCAATCATCACCAAGAAGTTTCTGACAATGCTTCTCTCTAGTTTTTATGTGAAGATATTTCCTTTTCCACCACAGGCCTGAAAGCACTCCAAATGTCCACTTGGAGGCTCTACGAAAAGAATGTTTCAAAACTGCTCTATGAAAAGCAATGTTATACTCTGGGAGTTGAACACAAGCCTCACAAAGGAGTTTCTCAGAATGCTTCTGTTTACTTTTTACGTGAGGATATTCCCGTTTCCAAAGAAGTCTTCACAGAGTTCCACCTATCCATTTGCAGATGCTAGCAAAAGAGAGTTTCAAAACTGCTCTATCAAAAGGAATGTTCAACTCTGTGAGTTGCATGCAATCATCACAGAGAAGTTTCTGAGAAGGCTTCTGTCTAGAATTTATGTGAAGATATACCCGTTTCGAACGAAGGCCACAAAGTGCTCCAAATATCCACTTGCAGGTCCTCCAAAAAGAGTGTTTCAAACGTGAACTACCAAAGGAAGGCTCAAATCTGGACTTTGAATGCCAACGTCAGAAGGATGTTTCTGCGAAAGCTTCTGTTTAGTTAGGTGACGTTATCCCACTTCCAACGAAATCCTCAGAGAGGTCCAAGTATCCACCTGCAGAGTCTACAAAAAGTGTGTTTCAGAACTGCTCCACCCAAAGGAATGTTCAGCTCTGTGAGTTGAACTCAATCATCCCAAAGTATTTTCTGAGAATGCTTCCGTCCAGTTTTTACATGAAGCTGTTTCCTTTACTACCGTAGGCCTGAAAGCGTTCCAAACCTCCACTTGCAGATACTACGAAAAGAGAGTTTCAACCTGAACTCACAAGGGAAGGTTCAACTCTGTCAGTTGAATGCCAACATCACAAAGAAGTTCTGAGAATGTTCCTCTTCAGTTATGTGAGGTTTATCCCGTTTCCAACGAAATTCTCAGAGAAGTCCCAAAATCCACTTGCCTATTCTACAAAAGGTGTGTTTTGAAAATGCGCCATCAAAAGATATGTCAGCTCTGTGAGTTAAACTCAATCATCGCAAAGAATTTTCTGAGAATGCTTCTGTCTTGTTTTTAGATGAAGTTCTTTCCTTTACTACGACAGGCCTCAAAGAGGTCCAAATCTCCACTTGCAGATTCTGCAGAAGGAGTGTTTCAAACCTGAACTATCAGAGAAAGGTTCAACACTGTGTGTTGAATGCAAGCATCACGAAGATGGTTCTGAGAATGCTTCTGTTTACGTAGGTGAGTTCTCTCCCGTATCCAACGAAATCCTCAGAGCGGTCCGAATCTCCACTTGCAGATTCTACACAAAGTGTGTTTGGAAACTGCTCCATCCAAAGGAATGTTCAGCTCTGTGAGTTGATCTCCATCGTCACAAAGTGTTTCCTGGGAATGCCACTGTCTCGTTTTTATGTGCAGTTATGTCCTCTACTGCCATAGGCCTCAAAGCGGTCCAAATATCCCCTTTCAGATTCTACCAAAAGTGTGTTTCCAAACGACTCCATCAAAGGGAATGTACAACTCGGTGACTTGAATGCAATCATCACAAAGCAGCTTCTGAGAATGCTTCCATGTAGCTTTGATGAGAAGATATTTCCTTTTCCACCCCAGGCCTCGAAGCCCTCCAAATGTCCCCTTGCAGATGCTAGAAAGAGAGGGTTTCAAAGCTGCTCTATCAAAAGGAAAGTACAACTCTGCGAGTTGAATGCAAACATCACAAAGAAGTTCCTGAGCATGCTTCCGTTTAGCTTTTATGGGAAGATTATCCCTTTTCCATCGGAATGTTCAAAGAGGTCCACGTATCCGCTTGCAGATTCCACCGAAAGAGTGTTTCCAAACTGCTGCATCAAAAGGAATCCTCAGCTCCGTGAGTTGAATGCAATCATCACCAAGAAGTTTCTGACAATGCTTCTCTCTAGTTTTTATGTGAAGATATTTCCTTATCCACCACAGGCCTGAAAGGGCTCCAAATGTCCACTTGGAGGCTCTACGAAAAGAATGTTTCAAAACTGCTCCATGAAAAGCAATGTTATACTCTGGGAGTTGAACACAAGCCTCACAAAGGAGTTTCTGAGAATGCTTCTGTTTACTTTTTACGTGAGGATATTCCCATTTCCAAAGAAGTCTTCACAGAGTTCCACCTATCCATTTGCAGATGCTAGCAAAAGAGAGTTCAAAACTGCTCTATCAAAAGGAATGTTCAACTCTGTGAGTTGCATGCNATCATCACAGAGAAGTTTCTGAGAAGGCTTCTGTCTAGATTTTATTTGAAGATATAGCCGTTTCGAACGAAGGCCACAAAGTGCTCCAAATATCCACTTGCAGGTCCTCCCAAAAGAGTGTTTCAAACGTGAACTACCAAAGGAAGGCTCAACTCTGGACTTTGAATGCCAACGTCATACCGATGTTTCTGCGAAAACTTCTGTTTAGTTAGGCGACGTATTCCGTTTCCAAGAAATCCTCCGAGAGGCCCAATATCCCCCTGCAAAGCCTAAAAAAAGGGGTTTCAAACTGCTCCCCCAAAG
>NC_000001.11:121940635-121944280 GCF_000001405.40 Homo sapiens
ATGATGAGTTCAACTCACAGAGCTGAACCTTCCTTTGGGTGGAGCAGTTTTGAAACACACTTTTTGTAGACTCTGCAGGTGGATATTTGGACCTCTCTGAGGATTTCGTTGGAAACGGGATAACGTCACCTAACTAAACAGAAGCTTCCGCAGAAACATCCTTCTGACGTTGGTCTTCAAAGTCCCGAGTTGAGCCTTCCTTTGGTAGTTCACGTTTGAAACACTCTTTTTGGAGGACCTGCAAGTGGATATTTGGAGCACTTTGTGGCCTTCGTTCGAAACGGCTATATCTTCACATACAATCTAGACAGAAGCCTTCTCAGAAACTTCTCTGTGATGATTGCACGCAACTCACAGAGTTGAACATTCCTTTTGATAGAGCAGTTTTGAAACTCTCTAGTTTTGCTGGCATCTGCAAATGGATAGGTGTAACTCTGTGAAGACTTCTTTGGAGACGGGAATATCCTCACGTAAAAAGTAAACAGAAGCATTCTCAGAAACTCCTTTGTGAGGCTTGTGTTCAACTCCCAGAGTATAACATTGCTTTTCATAGAGCAGTTTTGAAACATTCTTTTCGTAGAGCCTCCAAGTGGACATTTGGAGCGCTTTCAGGCCTGTGGTGGAAAAGGAAATATCTTCACATAAAAACTAGAGAGAAGCATTGTCAGAAACTTCTTGGTGATGATTGCATTCAACTCACGGAGCTGAGGATTCCTTTTGATGCAGCAGTTTGGAAACACTCTTTCGGTGGAATCTCCAAGCGTATATGTGGACCTCTTTGAACATTTCGATGGAAAAGGGATAATCTTCCCGTAAAAGCTAAACGGAAGCATGCTCAGGAACTTCCTTGTGATGTTTGCATTCAACTCACAGCGTTGTACTTTCCTTTTGATAGAGCAGCTTTGAAACCCCCTCTTTCTAGCATCTGTAAGGGGACATTTGGAGGGCTTCGAGGCCTGGGGTGGAAAAGGAAATATCTTCTCATCAAAGCTACATGGAAGCATTCTCAGAAGCTGCTTTGGGATGATTGCATTCAAGTCAGCGAGTTGAACATTCCCTTTGATGGAGCCGTTTGGAAACACACTTTTGGTAGGATCTGAAAGGGGAGATTTGGACCGCTTTGAGGCCTATGGCAGTAGAGGATATAACTGCACATAGAAGCGAGACAGGAGCATTCCCAGGAAACACTTTGTGACGATTGAGTTCAACTCACAGAGCTGAACATTCCTTTGGATGGAGCAGTCTCCAAACACACTTTGTGTAGAATCTGCAAGTGGAGATTTGGACCGCTCTGAGGATTTCGCTGGATACGGGAGAAAAGTCAACTATGTAAACAGAAGCATTCTCAGAACCTTCTTCGTGATGCTTGCATTCAACTCACAGTGTTGAACCTTTCTCTGACAGTTCAGGTTTGAAACACACCTTCTGCAGAATCTGCAAGTGGAGATTTGGACCTCTTTGAGGCCTATCGTAGTAAAGGAAAGAACTTCATCTAAAAGCAAGACAGAAGCATTCTCAGAAAATTCTTTGCGATGATTGAGTTGAACTCACAGAGCTGAGCATATCTTTTGATGGCGCATTTTCAAAACACACCTTTTGTAGAATATGCAAGTGGATTTTGGGACTTCTCAGAGAATTTCGTTGGAAACGGGATAAACCTCACATAACTGAAGAGGAACACTCTCAGAACTTCTTTGTGATGTTGGCATTCAACTGACAGAGTTGAACCTTCCCTTGTGAGTTCAGGTTGAAACGCTCTTTTCGTACTATCTTCAAGTGGAGATTTGGAATGCTTTGAGGCCTATGGTAGTAAACGAAACAGCTTCATGTAAAAACTGGACAGAAGCATTCTCAGAAAATACTTTGGGATGATTGAGTTCAACTCACAGAGCTGAACATTCCTTTGGGTGGAGCAGTTTTGAAACACACTTTTGGAGACTCTGCAGGTGGATATTTGGACCTCTCTGAGGATTTCGTTGGAAGCGGGATAACGTCACCTAACTAAACAGAAGCTTTCGCAGAAACATCTTTCTGACGTTGGCATTCAAAGTCCAGAGTTGAGCCTTCCTTTGGTAGTTCACGTTTGAAACACTCTTTTTGGAGGACCTGCAAGTGGATATTTGGAGCACTTTGTGGCCTTCGTTCGAAACGGCTATATCTTCACATAAAATCTAGACAGAAGCCTTCTCAGAAACTTCTCTGTGATGATTGCATGCAACTCACAGAGTTGAACATTCCTTTTGATAGAGCAGTTTTGAAACTCTCTTTTGCTAGCATCTGCAAATGGGTAGGTGGAACTCTGTGAAGACTTCTTTGGAAACGGGAATATCCTCACGTAAAAAGTAAACAGAAGCATTCTCAGAAACTCCTTTGTGAGGCTTGTGTTCAACTCGCAGAGTATAATATTGCTTTTCATAGAGCAGTTTTGAAACATTCTTTTCGTAGAGCCTCCAAGTGGACATTTGGAGTGCTTTCAGGCCTGTGGTGGAAAAGGAAATATCTTCACATAAAAACTAGAGAGAAGCATTGTCAGAAACTTCTTGGTGATGATTGCATTCAACTCACGGAGGTGAGGATTCCTTTTGATGCAGCAGTTTGGAACCACTCTTTCTGTGGAATCTGCAAGCGGATATGTGGACCTCTTTGAACATTTCGTTGGAAAAGGGATAATCTTCCCGTAATAGCTAAACGGCAGCATGCTCAGGAACTTTTTGTGATGTTTGCATTCAACTCACAGAGTTGTACTTTCCTTTTCATTGAGCAGCCTTGAAACCCTCTCTTTCTAGCATCTGCACGGGGACATTTGGAGGGCTTCGAGGCCTGGGGAGGAAAAGGAAATATCTTCTCATCAAAGCTACATGGAACATTCTCAGAAGCTGCTTTGTGAAGATTGCATTCAAGTCACCGAGTTGAACATTCCCCTTGATGGAGCCGTTTGGAAACACACTTTTGTTAGAATCTGAAAGGGGAGATTTGGACCGCTCTGAGGCACATGACAGTAGAGGATATAACTGCACATAAAAACGAGACAGGAGCATTCCCAGGAAACAATTTGTGACGATTGAGTGCAACTCACAGAGCTGAACATTCCTTTGGATGGAGCAGTTTCCAAACACACTTTGTGTAGAATCTGCAAGAGGAGATTTGGACCCCTCTGAGGATTTCGTTGGATACGGGAGAGAACTCACCTACGTAAACAGAAGCATTCTCAGAACCTTCTTCGTGATGCTTGCATTCAACTCACAGTGTTGAACCTTTCTCTGACATTTCAGGTTTGAAACACTCCTCCTGCAGAATCTGCAAGTGGAGATTTGGAACTCTTTGAGGCCTATCGTAGTAAAGGAAAGACCTTCATTTAAAAACAAGACAGAAGCATTCTCAGAAAATCCTTTACGATGATGGAGTTTAACTCCCAGAGCTGAACATATCTTTTGAGGTCCCATTTTCAAACAACTTTTTGTAGAATTTCAAGTGAATTTGGGAACTCTCAAAAAATTCCTTGGAAACGCTCTAACCTCCCTTTTCTGAAGAGGACCCTCTCAAAATTCTTTGGTATGTTGCCTTCACCTGCAGAGTTGAAAATCCCTTGGAATCTCGGTGAAACCCTCTTTCGTACTATTTTAAGGGAAATTTGACACCTTTGAG
>NC_000001.11:121944380-121946982 GCF_000001405.40 Homo sapiens
ACATTCCTTGGATGGGCGGTTTCAACCCCCTTGTGTAGATCTGCAAGGGAGATTGGGCCGCTCGGAGGATTCGTGGGATACGGGAGAAACTCACCTACGTAACAGAGCATCTCAGAACCTTCTCGTGATGCTGCATCAACCCACAGTGTGAGGTTTCTCTGACAGTCAGGTTTGAACACTCCTTCTGCAGAATCTGCAAGTGGAGATTTGGACCTCTTTGAGGCCTATCGTAGTAAAGGAAAGAACTTCATCTAAAAACAAGACAGAAGCATTCTCAGAAAATTCTTTGCGATGATTGAGTTTAACTCACAGAGCTGAGCATATCTTTTGATGGCGCGTTTTCAAAACACACCTTTTGTAGAATATGCAAGTGGATTTTGGGACTTCTCTGAGAAATTCGTTGGAAACGGGATAAACCTCACATAACTGAAGAGGAACATTCTCAGAATTTCTTGGTGATGTTGGCATTCAACTGACAGAGTTGAACCTTCCCTTGTGAGTTCAGGTTGAAACGCTCTTTTCGTAGTATCTGCAAGTGGAGGTTTGGAATGCTTTGAGGCCTACGGTAGTAAAGGAAACAGCTTCATGTAAAAACTGGACAGAAGCATTCTCAGAAACTATTTTGGGATGATTGAGTTCAACTCACAGAGCTGAACATTATTTTGGGTGGAGCAGTTCTGAAACACACTTTTTGTAGACTCTGCAGGTGGATATTTGGACGTCACTGAGGATTTCGTTGGAAACGGGATAACGTCACCTAACTAAACAGAAGCTTTCGCAGAAACATCTCTCTGACGTTGGCCTTCAAAGTCCACAGTTTAGCCTTCCTTTGGTAGTTCACGTTTGAAACACTCTTTTTGGAGGACCTGCAAGTGGCTATTTGGAGCACTTTGTGGCCTTCGTTTGAAACGGCTATATCTTCAAATAAAATCTAGACAGAAGCCTTCTCAGAAACTTCTCTGTGATGATTGCATGCAACTCACAGAGTTGAACATTCCTTTTCATAGAGCAGTTTTGAAACTCTCTAGTTTTGCTAGCATCTGCAAATGGATAGGTGGAACTCTGTGAAGACTTCTTTGGAAACGGGAATATCCTCACGTAAAAAGTAAACAGAAGCATTCTCAGAAACTCCTTTGTGAGGCTTGTGTTCAACTCCCAGAGTATAACATTGCTTTTCATAGAGCAGTTTTGAAACATTCTTTTCGTAGAGCCTCCAAGTGGACATTTGGAGCGCTTTCAGGCCTGTGGTGGAAAAGGAAATATCTTCACATAAAAACTAGAGAGAAGCATTGTCAGAAACTTCTTGGTGATGATTGCATTCAACTCACGGAGCTGAGGATTCGTTTGGATGCAGCAGTTTGGAAACACTCTTTCGGTGGAATCTGCAAGCGGATATGTGGACCTCTTTGAACATTTCGATGGAAAAGGGATAATCTTCCCGTAAAAGCTAAACGGAAGCATGCTCAGGAACTTCCTTGTGATGTTTGCATTCAACTCACAGAGTTGTACTTTCCTTTTGATAGAGCAGCTTTGAAACCCCCTCTTTCTAGCATCTGCAAGGGGACATTTGGAGGGCTTCGAGGCCTGGGGTGGAAAAAGAAATATCTTCTCATCAGAGCTACATGGAAGCATTCTCAGAAGCTGCTTTGTGATGATTGCATTCAAGTCACCGAGATGAACACTCCCTTTGATGGAGCCGTTTGGAAACACACTTTTGGTAGAATCTGAAAGGGGAGATTTGGAACGCTTTGAGGCCTATGGCAGTAGAGGATATAACTGCACATAAAAACGAGACAGGAGCATTCCCAGGAAACACTTTGTGACGATTGAGTGCAACTCACAGAGCTGAACATTCCTTTGGATGGAGCAGTTTCCAAACACACTTTGTGTAGAATCTGCAAGTGGAGATTTGGACCGCTCTGAGGATTTCGTTGGATACGGGAGAAAAGTCACCTACGTAAACAGAAGCATTCTCAGAACCTTCTTCGTGATGCTTGCATTCAACTCACAGTGTGGAACCTTTCTCTGACAGTTCAGGTTTGAAACACTCCTTCTGCAGAATCTGCAAGTGGAGATTTGGACCTCTTTGAGGCCTATCGTAGTAAAGGAAAGAACTTCATCTAAAAACAAGACAGAAGCATTCTCAGAAAATTCTTTGCGATGATTGAGTTTAACTCACAGAGCTGAGCCTATCTTTTGATGGCGCATTTTCAAAACACACCTTTTGTAGAATATGCAAGTGGATTTTGGGACTTCTCTGAAAATTTCGTTGGAAACGGGATAAACCTCACATAACTGAAGAGGAACATTCTCAGAACTTCTTTGTGATGTTGGCATTCAACTGAGAGAGTTGAACCTTT
The DNA here is from genome assembly GCF_000001405.40 of Homo sapiens. NCBI lineage: Eukaryota > Metazoa > Chordata > Mammalia > Primates > Hominidae > Homo > Homo sapiens. The sequence goes on from NC_000001.11 coordinate 121,946,741, forward strand.
CCTTGTGAGTTCAAGTTGAAACGCTCTTTTCGTAGTATCTGCAAGTGGAGGTTTGGAACGCTTTGAGGCCTACGGTAGTAAAGGAAACAGCTTCATGTAAAAACTGGACAGAAGCATTCTCAGAAAATACTTTGGGATGATTGAGTTCAACTCACAGAGCTGAACATTCCTTTGGGTGGAGCAGTTCTGAAACACACTTTTTGTAGACTCTGCAGGTGGATATTTGGACGTCTCTGAGGATT
>NC_000001.11:121947082-121950294 GCF_000001405.40 Homo sapiens
TTCCTTTTCCCCCAGGCCTGGAACCCTCAAATTCCCCTGCGGATGTAGGAAGGAGGTTTTAAAGTGCTTTTCAAAAGAAAGTACACTCTGCGAGTTGATGCAACATTACAAAGAAGTCCTGAGCAGCTTCCGTTAGGTTTTACGGAAGATATCCCTTTCCATCGGATGTTCAAAGAGGTCTTCATATCCGCTTGCAGATTCACCGAAAGAGTGTTCCAAACTGCTGCATCAAAAGGAATCCTCAGCTCCGTGAGTNGAATGCAATCATCACCAAGAAGTTTCTGAGAATGCTTCTCTCTAGTTTTTATGNGAAGATATTTCCTTATCCACCACAGGCCTGAAAGCGCTCCAAATGTCCACTTGGAGGCTCTACGAAAAGAATGTTCAAAACTGCTCCATGAAAAGCAATGTTATACTCTGGGAGTGAACACAAGCCTCACAAAGGAGTTTCTGAGAATGCTTCTGTTTACTTTTTACGTGAGGATATTCCCGTTTCCAAAGAAGTCTTCACAGAGTTCCACCTATCCATTTGCAGATGCTAGCAAAAGAGAGTTTCAAAACTGCTCTATCAAAAGGAATGTTCAACTCTGTGAGTTGCATGCAATCATCACAGAGAAGTTTCTGAGAAGGCTTCTGTCTAGATTTTATGTGAAGATATAGCCGTTTCGAACGAAGGCCACAAAGTGCTCCAAATATCCACTTGCAGGTCCTCCAAAAAGAGTGTTTCAAACGTGAACTACCAAAGGAAGGCTCAACTGTGGACTTTGAATGCCAACGTCAGAGAGATGTTCCTGCGAAAGCTTCTGTTTAGTTAGGCGACGTTATCCCGTTTCCAACGAAATCCTCAGAGAGGTCCAAATATCCACCAGCCGAGTCTACAAAAAGTGTGTTTCAAAACTGCTCCACCCAAAGGAATGTTCAGCTCTGTGAGTTGAACTCAATCATCCCAAAGTATTTTCTGAGAATGCTTCTGTCCAGTTTTTACATGAAGCTGTTTCCTTTACTACCGTAGGCCTCAAAGCGTTCCAAATCTCCACTTGCAGATGCTACGAAAAGAGTGTTTCAACCTGAACTCACAAGGGAAGGTTCACCTCTGTCAGTTGAATGTCAACATCACAAAGAAGTTCTGAGAATGTTCCTCTTCAGTTATGTGAGGTTTATCCCGTTTCCAACGAAATTCTCAGAGAAGTCCCAATATCCACTTGCATATTCTACAAAACGTGTGTTTTGAAAATGCTCCATCAAAAGACCTGCTCAGCTCTGTGAGTTAAACTCAATCATCGCAAAGAATTTTCTGAGAATGCTTCTGTCTTGTTTTTAGATGAAGTTCTTTCCTTTACTACGACAGGCCTCAAAGAGGTCCAAATCTCCACTTGCATTTTCTGCAGAAGGAGTGTTTCAAACCTGAACTGTCAGAGAAAGGTTCAACACTGTGAGTTGAATGCAAGCATCACGAAGAAGGTTCTGAGAATGCTTCCGTTTACGTAGGTGAGTTCTCTCCCGTATCCAACGAAATCCTCAGAGCGGTCCGAATCTCCACTTGCAGATTCTACACAAAGTGTGTTTGGAAACTGCTCCATCCAAAGGAATGTTCAGCTCCGTGAGTTGAACTCAATCGTCACAAAGTGTTTCCTGGGAATGCTACTGTCTCGTTTTTATGTGCAGTTATATCCTCTACTGCCATAGGCCTCAAAGCTGTCCAAATATCCCCTTTAGGATTCTACCAAAATTGTGTTTCCCAACGGCTCCATCAAAGGGAATGTTCAGCTCGGTGACTTGAAAGCAATCATCACAAAGCAGCTTCTGAGAATGCTTCCATGTAGCTTTGATGAGAAGATATTTCCTTTTCCACCCCAGGCCTCGAAGCCCTCCAAATGTCCCCTTGCAGATGCTAGAAAGAGAGGGTTTCAAAGCTGCTATATCAAAAGGAAAGTACAACTCTGCGAGTTGAATGCAAACATCACAAAGAAGTTCCTGAGCATGCTTCTGTTTAGCTTTTACGGGAAGATTATCCCTTTTCCATCAGAATGTTCAAAGAGGTCCACATATCCGCTTGCAGATTCCACCGAAAGAGTGTTTCCAAACTGCTGCATCAAAAGGAATCCTCAGCTCCGTGAGTTGAATGCAATCATCACCAAGAGGATTCTGAGAATGCTTCTCTCTAGTTTTTATGTGAAGATATTTCCTTAACCACCACAGGCCTGAAAGGGCTCCAAATGTCCACTTGGAGGCTCTATGAAAAGAATGTTTCAAAACTGCTCCATGAAAAGCAATGTTATACTCTGGGAGTTGAACACAAGCCTCACAAAGGAGTTTCTGAGATTGCTTCTGTTTACTTTTTACGTGAGGATATTCCCGTTTCCAAAGAAGTCTTCACAGAGTTCCACCTATCCATTTGCAGATGCTAGCAAAAGAGAGTTTCAAAACTGCTCTATCAAAAGGAATGTTCAACTCTGTGAGTTGCATGCAATCATCACAGAGAAGTTTCTGAGAAGGCTTCTGTCTAGATTTTATGTGAAGATATAGCTGTTTCGAACGAAGACCACAATGTGCTCCAATATCCACTTGCAGGACTTCCAAAAAGAGTGTTTCAAACGTGAACTACCAAAGGAAGGCTCAACTGTGGACTTTGAATGCCAACGTCAGAAAGATGTTTCTGCGAAAACTTCTGTTTAGTTAGGCGACGTTATCTCGTTTCCAACGAAATCCTAGGAGAGGTCCAAATATCCACCAGCAGAGTCTGCAAAAAGTGTGTTTCAAAACTGCTCCACCCAAAGGAATGTTCAGCTCTGTGAGTTGAACTCAATCATCCCAAAGTATTTCCTGAGAATGCTTCTGTCCAGTTTTTACATGAGGCTGTTTCCTTTACTACCGTAGGCCTCAAAGCGTTCCAAATCTCCACTTGCAGATGCTACGAAAAGAGCGTTTCAACCTGAACTCACAAGGGAAGGTTCACCTCTGTCAGTTGAATGTCAACATCACAAAGAAGTTCTGAGAATGTTCCTCTTCAGTTATGTGAGGTTTATCCCGTTTCCAACGAAATTCTCAGAGAAGTCCCAATATCCACTTGCATATTATACAAAACGTGTGTTTTGAAAATGCTCCATCAAAAGACCTGCTCAGCTCTGTGAGTTAAACTCAATCATCGCAAAGAATTTTCTGAGAATGCTTCTGTCTTGTTTTTAGATGAAGTTCTATCCTTACTACGACAG
>NC_000001.11:121950394-121953308 GCF_000001405.40 Homo sapiens
TTTATCCTCTACGCCATAGCCTCAAACGTTCCAATTTCCCTTTTCAGATCTACGGAAGTGGGTTCCAACGGCTCCATCAAAGGGAATGTTCAGCTCGGTGACTGGAAAGCAATCATCACAAAGCAGCTTCTGAGAATGCTTCCATGTAGCTTTCATGAGAAGATATTTCCTTTTCCACCCCNAGGCCTCGAAGCCCTCCAAATGTCCCCTTGCAGATGCTAGAAAGAGAGGGTNTCAAAGCTGCTCTATCAAAAGGAAAGTACACTTCTGCGAGTGAAATGCAAACATCACAAAGAAGTTCCTGAGCATGCTTCCGTTTAGCTTTTACGGGAAGATTATCCCTTTTCCATCGGAATGTTCAAAGAGGTCTACATATCCGCTTGCAGATTCCACCGAAAGAGTGTTTCCAAACTGCTGCATCAAAAGGAATCCTCAGCTCCGTGAGTTGAATGCAATCATCACCAAGAAGTTTCTGAGAATGCTTCTCTCTAGTTTTTATGTGAAGATATTTCCTTATCCACCACAGGCCTGAAAGCGCTCCAAATGTCCACTTGGAGGCTCTACGAAAAGAATGTTTCAAAACTGCTCCATGAAAAGCAATGTTATACTCTGGGAGTTGAACACAAGCCTCACAAAGGAGTTTCTGAGAATGCTTCTGTTTACTTTTTACGTGAGGATATTCCCGTTTCCAAAGAAGTCTTCACAGAGTTCCACCTATCCATTTGCAGATGCTAGCAAAAGAGAGTTTCAAAACTGCTCTATCAAAAGGAATGTTCAACTCTGTGAGTTGCATGCAATCATCACAGAGAAGTTTCTGAGAAGGCTTCTGTCTAGATTTTATGTGAAGATATAGCCGTTTCGAACGAAGGCCACAAAGTGCTCCAATATCCACTTGCAGGTCCTCCAAAAAGAGTGTTTCAAACGTGAACTACCAAAGGAAGGCTCAACTGTGGACTTTGAATGCCAACGTCAGAAAGATGTTTCCGCGAAAGCCTCTGTTTAGTTAGGCGACGTTATCCCATTTCCAACGAAATCCTCAGAGAGGTCCAAATATCCACCTGCAGAGTCTACAAAAAGTGTGTTTCAAAACTGCTCCACCCAAAGGAATGTTCAGCTCTGTGAGTTGAACTCAATCATCCCAAAGTATTTCCTGAGAATGCTTCTGTCCAGTTTTTACGTGAAGCTGTTTCCTTTACTACCGTAGGCCTCAAAGCGTTCCAAATCTCCACTTGCAGATGCTACGAAAAGAGCGTTTCAACCTGAACTCACAAGGGAAGGTTCACCTCTGTCAGTTGAATGTCAACATCACAAAGAAGTTCTGAGAATGTTCCTCTTCAGTAATGTGAGGTTTATCCCGTTTCCAACGAAATTCTCGGAGAAGTCCCAATATCCACTTGCATATTCTACAAAACGTGTGTTTTGAAAATGCTCCATCAAAAGACCTGCTCAGCTCTGTGAGTTAAACTCAATCATCGCAAAGAATTTTCTGAGAATGCTTCTGTCTTGTTTTTAGATGAAGTTCTTTCCTTTACTACGACAGGCCTCAAAGAGGTCCAAATCTCCACTTGCAGATTCTGCAGAAGGAGTGTTTCAAACCTGAACTGTCAGAGAAAGGTTCAACACTGTGAGTTGAATGCAAGCATCGCGAAGAAAGTTCTGAGAATGCTTCCGTTTACATAGGTGAGTTCTCTCCCGTATCCAACGAAATCCTCAGAGCGGTCCGAATCTCCACTTGCAGATTCTACACAAAGTGTGTTTGGAAACTGCTCCATCCAAAGGAATGTTCAGCTCCGTGAGTTGAACTCAATCGTCACAAAGTGTTTCCTGGGAATGCTACTGTCTCGTTTTTATGTGCAGTTATATCCTCTACTGCCATAGGCCTCAAAGCGGTCCAAATCTCCCCTTTCAGATTCTACCAAAAGTGTGTTTCCAAACGGCTCCATCAAAGGGAATGTTCAGCTCGGTGACTTGAAAGCAATCATCACAAAGCAGCTTCTGACAATGCTTCCATGTAGCTTTGATGAGAAGATATTTCCTTTTCCACCCCAGGCCTCGAAGCCCTCCAAATGTCCCCTTGCAGATGCTAGAAAGAGAGGGTTTCAAAGCTGCTCTATCAAAAGGAAAGTACAACTCTGCGAGTTGAATGCAAACATCACAAAGAAGTTCCTGAGCATGCTTCCGTTTAGCTTTTACGGGAAGATTATCCCTTTTCCATCGGAATGTTCAAAGAGGTCCTCATATCCGCTTGCAGATTCCACCGAAAGAGTGTTTCCAAACTGCTGCATCAAAAGGAATCCTCAGCTCCGTGAGTTGAATGCAATCATCACCAAGAAGTTTCTGAGAATGCTTCTCTCTAGTTTTTATGTGAAGATATTTCCTTATCCACCACAGGCCTGAAAGCGCTCCAAATGTCCACTTGGAGGCTCTACGAAAAGAATGTTTCAAAACTGCTCCATGAAAAGCAATGTTATACTCTGGGAGTTGAACACAAGCCTCACAAAGGAGTTTCTGAGAATGCTTCTGTTTACTTTTTACGTGAGGATATTCCCGTTTCCAAAGAAGTCTTCACAGAGTTCCACCTATCCATTTGCAGATGCTAGCAAAAGAGAGTTTCAAAACTGCTCTATCAAAAGGAATGTTCAACTCTGTGAGTTGCATGCAATCATCACAGAGAAGTTTCTGAGAAGGCTTCTGTCTAGATTTTATGTGAAGATATAGCCGTTTCGAACGAAGGCCACAAAGTGCTCCAAATATCCACTTGCAGGTCCTCCAAAAAGAGTGTTTCAAACGTGAACTACCAAAGGAAGGCTCAACTGTGGACTTTGAATGCCAACGTCAGAGAGATGTTCCTGCGAAAGCTTCTGTTTAGTTAGGCGACGTTATCCCGTTCCAACGAATCTCAGAGAGTCCAAAT
>NC_000001.11:121953408-121955619 GCF_000001405.40 Homo sapiens
TGCAGATAGTCGAAAGAGCTTCAACTTGACTCACAGGGAAGTTCACTTGTCAGTGAATGCAACATCACAAGAGTTCTGAGATGTCCTCTTCATTATTGAGGTTATCCCGTTCCAACGAATTTTCAGAAAGTCCCAAAATCCACTGCATATTCCACAAAAGGTGTGTTTGGAAAATGCGCCATCAAAAGATATGCTCAGCTCTGTGAGCTAAACTCAATCATCGCAAAGAATNTTCTGAGAATGCTTCTGTCTTGTTTTTAGATGAAGTTCTTTCCTTTACTACGATAGGCCTCAAAGAGGTCCAAATCTCCACTTGCAGATTCTGCAGAAGGAGTGTTTCAAACCTGAACTGTCAGGGAAAGGTTCAACACTGTGAGTTGAATGGAAGCATCACGAAGAAGGTTCTGAGAATGCTTCTGTTTACGTAGGTGACTTTTCTCCCGTATCCAGCGAAATCCTCAGAACGGTCCAAATCTCCACTTGCAGATTCTACACAAATTGTGTTTGGAAACTGCTCCACCCAAAGGAATGTTCGGCTCCGTGAGTTGAACTCAATCGTCACAAAGCGTTTCCTGGGAATGCTCCTGTCTCGCTTTTATGTGCAGTTATATCCTCTACTGCCATAGGCCACAAAGCGGTCCAAATCTCCCCTTTCAGATACTACCAGAAGTGTGTTTCCAAACGGCCCCATCAAAGGGGATGTTCAACTCGGTGACTTGAATGCAATCATCACAAAGCAGCTTCTGAGAATGCTTCCATGTAGCTTTGATGAGAAGATATTTCCTTTTCCACCCCAGGCCTCGAAGCCCTCCAAATGTCCCCTTGCAGATGCTAGAAAGAGGGGGTTTCAAAGCTGCTCTATCAAAAGGAAAGTACAACTCTGCGAGTTGAATGCAAACATCACAAAGAAGTTCCTGAGCATGCTTCCGTTTAGCTTTTATGGGAAGATTATCCCTTTTCCATCGAAATGTTCAAAGAGGTCCACATATCCGCTTGCAGATTCCACCGAAAGAGTGTTTCCAAACTGCTGCATCAAAAGGAATCCTCAGCTCCGTGAGTTGAATGCAATCATCACCAAGAAGTTTCTGACAATGCTTCTCTCTAGTTTTTATGTGAAGATATTTCCTTTTCCACCACAGGCCTGAAAGCGCTCCAAATGTCCACTTGGAGGCTCTACGAAAAGAATGTTTCTAAACTGCTCTATGAAAAGCAATGTTATACTCTGGGAGTTGAACACAAGCCTCACAAAGGAGTTTCTGAGAATGCTTCTGTTTACTTTTTACGTGAGGATATTCCCGTTTCAAAAGAAGTCTTCACAGAGTTCCACCTATCCATTTGCAGATGCTAGCAAAAGAGAGTTTCAAAACTGCTCTATCAAAAGGAATGTTCAACTCTGTGAGTTGCATGCAATCATCACAGAGAAGTTTCTGAGAAGGCTTCTGTCTAGATTTTATGTGAAGATATAGCCGTTTCGAACGAAGGCCACAAAGTGCTCCAAATATCCACTTGCAGGTCCTCCAAAAAGAGTGTCTCAAACGTGAACTACCAAAGGAAGGCTCCACTCTGGACTTTGAATGCAAACGTCAGAAAGATTTTTCTGCGAAAGCTTCTGTTTAGTTAGGTGACGTTATCCCGTTTCCAACGAAATCCTCAGAGAGGTCCAAATATCCACCTGCAGAGTCTACAAAAAGTGTGTTTCAAAACTGCTCCACCAAAAGGAATGTTCAGCTCTGTGAGTTAAACTCAATCATCCCAAAGTATTTTCTGAGAATTCTTCTGTCCAGTTTTTACATGAAGCTGTTTCCTTTACTACCGTAGGCCTCAAAGCGTTCCAAATCTCCACTTGCAGATACTACGAAAAGAGCGATTCAACCTGAACTCACAAGGGAAGGTTCAACTCTATCAGTTGAATGCCAACATCACAAAGAAGTTCTGAGAATGTTTCTCTTCAGTTATGTGAGGTTTATCCCGTTTCCCACGAAATTCTCAGGGAAGTCCAAATATCCACTTGCATATTCTACAAAAAGTGTGTTTTGAAAATGCTCCATCAAAAGATATGCTCAGCTCTGTGTGTTAAACTCAATCATCACAAAGAATTTTCTGAGAATGCTTCTGTCTTGTTTTTAGATGAGGTTATATCCTTTACTACGATAGGCCTCAAAGAGGTCCAAATCTCCACTTGCAGATTCTGCAGAAGGAGTGTTAAAACCT
>NC_000001.11:121955719-121958015 GCF_000001405.40 Homo sapiens
TTGAATGCAATCATCACAAACCAGTTTCTGAGAATGCTTCCATGTAGCTTTGATGAGAGGATATTTCCTTTTCCACCCCAGGCCTCGAAGCCCTCCAAATGTCCNCTTGCAGATGCTAGAAAGAGAGGGTTTCAAAGCTGCTCTATCAAAAGGAATGTTCAACTCTGTGAGTNGCATGCAATCATCACAGAGAAGTTTCTGAGAAGGCTTCTGTCTAGATTTTATGTGAAGATATAGCCGTTTCGAAAGAAGGCCACAAAGTGCTCCAAATATCCACTTGCAGGTCCTCCAAAAAGAGTGTTTCAAACGTGAACTACAAAAGGAAGGCTCCACTCTGGACTTTGAATGCAAACGTCAGAAAGATTTTTCTGCGAAAGCTTCTGTTTAGTTAGGTGACGTTATCCCGTTTCCAACGAAATCCTCAGAGAGGTCCAAATATCCACCTGCAGAGTCTACAAAAAGTGTGTTTCAAAACTGCTCCACCAAAAGGAATGTTCAGCTCTGTGAGTTAAACTCAATCATCCCAAAGTATTTTCTGAGAATTCTTCTGTCCAGTTTTTACATGAAGCTGTTTCCTTTACTACCGTAGGCCTCAAAGCGTTCCAAATCTCCACTTGCAGATACTACGAAAAGAGCGATTCAACCTGAACTCACAAGGGAAGGTTCAACTCTATCAGTTGAATGCCAACATCACAAAGAAGTTCTGAGAATGTTTCTCTTCAGTTATGTGAGGTTTATCCCGTTTCCCACGAAATTCTCAGGGAAGTCCAAATATCCACTTGCATATTCTACAAAAAGTGTGTTTTGAAAATGCTCCATCAAAAGATATGCTCAGCTCTGTGTGTTAAACTCAATCATCACAAAGAATTTTCTGAGAATGCTTCTGTCTTGTTTTTAGATGAGGTTATATCCTTTACTACGATAGGCCTCAAAGAGGTCCAAATCTCCACTTGCAGATTCTGCAGAAGGAGTGTTTAAAACCTGAACTATCAGAGAAAGGTTGAACACTGTGAGTTGAATGCAAGCATCACGAAGAAGGTTCTGAGAATGCTTCTGTTTATATAGGTGAGTTTTCTCCCGTATCCATCAAAAGATATGCTCAGCTGTGTGAGTTAAACTCAATCATCACAAAGAATTTTCTGAGAATGCTTCTGTCTTGTTTTTAGATGAAGTTCTTTCCTTTACTACGATAGGCCTCAAAGAGGTCCAAATCTCCACTTGCAGATTCTGCAGAAGGAGTGTTTAAAACCTGAACTATCAGAGAAAGGTTCAACACTGTGAGTTGAATGCAAGCATCACGAAGAAGGTTCTGAGAATGCTTCTGTTTACATAGGTGTGTTTTCTCCCGTATCCATCAAAAGATATGCTCAGCTCTGTGAGTTAAACCCAATCATCACAAAGAATTTTCTGAGAATGCTTCTGTCTTGTTTTTAGATGAAGTTCTTTCATTTACTACGATAGGCCTCAAAGAGGTCCAAATCTCCACTTGCAGATTCTGCAGAAGGAGTGTTTAAAACCTGAACTATCAGAGAAAGGTTCAACACTGTGAGTTGAATGCAAGCATCAGGAAGAAGGTTCTGAGAATGCTTCTGTTTACATACGTGAGTTTTCTCCCGTATCCATCAAAAGATATGCTCAGCTCTGTGAGTTAAACTCAATCATCACAAAGAATTTTCTGAGAATACTTCTGTCTTGTTTTTAGATGAAGTTCTTTCCTTTACTACGATAGGCCTCAAAGAGGTCCAAATCTCCACTTGCAGATTCTGCAGAAGGAGTGTTTCAAACCTGAACTATCAGAGAAAGGTTCAACACTGTGAGTTGAATGCAAGCATCACGAAGAAGGTTCTGAGAATGCTTCTGTTTACATAGGTGAGTTTTCTCCCGTATCCAATGAAATCCTCAGAGCGGTCCAAATCTCCACTTGCAGATTCTACAAAAAGTGTGTTTTGAAACTGCTCCATCCAAAGGAATGTTCAGCTCTGTGAATTGAACTCAATCGTCACAAAGTGTTTCCTGGGAATGCTCCTGTCTCCTTTTTATGTGCAGTTATATCCTCTACTGCCATAGGCCTCAAAGCGGTCCAAATCTCCCCTTTCAAATCTACAAAGTGTGTTTCAAACGCTCCATCAAGGAATGTCACTCGTGACTTGATGCATCTCACAAGCAGTTCTGAGATGCTCCATGTAGCTTTGAAGAANAGATATTCCTTTTCCACCCCAGNCTCGAAGCCCTCAATGTCCCTGCAGAGCTAAAAGAAAGGGTTCAAACTGCTCATCAAAGGAAGTACACTCTGTGA
>NC_000001.11:121958115-121963443 GCF_000001405.40 Homo sapiens
AAGCTTCGTTTAGTAGGCGACGTATCCCGTTCCACGAAATCCTCAGAGAGTCCAAATATCCACCTGCAGAGTCTACAAAAAGTGTGTTCAACTGCTCCACCAAAAGGAATGTTCAGCTCTGTGAGTGAAACTCATCATCCCAAAGTATTTTCTGAGAATGCTTCTGTCCAGTTTTTACATGAAGCTGTTTCCTTTACTACCGTAGGCCTCAAAGCGTTCCAAATTTCCACTTGCAGATGCTACGAAAGGAGCGTTTCAACCTGAACTCACAAGGGAAGGTTCACCTCTGTCAGTTGAATGTCAACATCACAAAGAAGTTCTGAGAATGTTCCTCTTCAGTTATGTGAGGTTTATCCCGTTTCCAACGAAATTCTCAGAGAAGTCCCAATATCCACTTGCATATTCTACAAAACGTGTGTTTTGAAAATGCTCCATCAAAAGACCTGCTCAGCTCTGTGAGTTAAACTCAATCATCGCAAAGAATTTTCTGAGAATGCTTCTGTCTTGTTTTTAAATGAAGTTCTTTCCTTTACTACGACAGGCCTCAAAGAGGTCCAAATCTCCACTTGCAGATTCTGCAGAAGGAGTGTTTCAAACCTGAACCGTCAGAGGAAGGTTCAACACTGTGAGTTGAATGCAAGCATCACGAAGAAGGTTCTGAGAATGCTTCTGTTTACGTAGGTGAGTTCTCTCCCGTATCCAACGAAATCCTCAGAGCGGTCCGAATCTCCACTTGCAGATTCTACACAAAGTGTGTTTGGAAACTGCTCCATCCAAAGGAATGTTCAGCTCCGTGAGTTGAACTCAATCGTCACAAAGTGTTTCCTGGGAATGCTACAGTCTCATTTTTATGTGCAGTTATATCCTCTACTGCCATAGGCCTCAAAGCTGTCCAAATCTCCCCTTTCAGATTCTACCAAAAGTGTGTTTCCAAACGGCTCCATCAAAGGGAATGTTCAGCTCGGTGACTTGAAAGCAATCATCACAAAGCAGCTTCTGAGAATGCTTCCATGTATCTTTGATGAGAAGACATTTCCTTTTCCACCCCAGGCCTCGAAGCCCTCCAAATGTCCCCTTGCAGATGCTAGAAAGAGAGGGTTTCAAAGCTGCTCTATCAAAAGGAAAGTACAACTCTGCGAGTTGAATGCAAACATCACAAAGAAGTTCCTGAGCATGCTTCCGTTTAGCTTTTATGGGAAGATTATCCCTTTTCCATCGGAATGTTCAAAGAGGTCCACGTATCCGCTTGCAGATTCCACCGAAAGAGTGTTTCCAAACTGCTGCATCAAAAGGAATCCTCAGCTCCGTGAGTTGAATGCAATCATCACCAAGAAGTTTCTGACAATGCTTCTCTCTAGTTTTTATGTGAAGATATTTCCTTATCCACCACAGGCCTGAAAGGGCTCCAAATGTCCACTTGGAGGCTCTACGAAAAGAATGTTTCAAAACTGCTCCATGAAAAGCAATGTTATACTCTGGGAGTTGAACACAAGCCTCACAAAGGAGTTTCTGAGAATGCTTCTGTTTACTTTTTACGTGAGGATATTCCCGTTTCCAAAGAAGTCTTCACAGAGTTCCACCTATCCATTTGCAGATGCTAGCAAAAGAGAGTTTCAAAACTGCTCTATCAAAAGGAATGTTCAACTCTGTGAGTTGCATGCAATCATCACAGAGAAGTTTCTGAGAAGGCTTCTGTCTAGATTTTATGTGAAGATATAGCCGTTTCGAACGAAGGCCACAAAGTGCTCCAAATATCCACTTGCAGGTCCTCCAAAAAGAGTGTTTCAAACGTGAACTACCAAAGGAAGGCTCAACTCTGGACTTTGAATGCCAACGTCAGAAGGATGTTTCTGCGAAAGCTTCTGTTTAGTTAGGCGACGTTATCCCGTTTCCAACGAAATCCTCAGAGAGGTCCAAATATCCACCTGCAGAGTCTACAAAAAGTGTGTTTCAAAACTGCTCCACCCAAAGGAATGTTCAGCTCTGTGAGTTGAACTCAATCATCCCAAAGTATTTTCTGAGAATGCTTCTGTCCAGTTTTTACATGAAGCTGTTTCCTTTACTACCGTAGGCCTCAAAGCGTTCCAAATCTCCACTTGCAGATGCTACGAAAGGAGCGTTTCAACCTGAACTCACAAGGGAAGGTTCACCTCTGTCAGTAGAATGTCAACATCACAAAGAAGTTCTGAGAATGTTCCTCTTCAGTTATGTGAGGTTTATCCCGTTTCCAACGAAATTCTCAGAGAAGTCCCAATATCCACTTGCATATTCTACAAAACGTGTGTTTTGAAAATGCTCCATCAAAAGACCTGCTCAGCTCTGTGAGTTAAACTCAATCATCGCAAAGAATTTTCTGAGAATGCTTCTGTCTTGTTTTTAGATGAAGTTCTTTCCTTTACTACGACAGGCCTCAAAGAGGTCCAAATCTCCACTTGCAGATTCTGCAGAAGGAGTGTTTCAAACCTGAAACGTCAGAGGAAGGTTCAACACTGTGAGTTGAATGCAAGCATCACGAAGAAGGTTCTGAGAATGCTTCTGTTTACGTAGGTGAGTTCTCTCCCGTATCCAACGAAATCCTCAGAGCGGTCCGAATCTCCACTTGCAGATTCTACACAAAGTGTGTTTGGAAACTGCTCCATCCAAAGGAATGTTCAGCTCCGTGAGTTGAACTCAATCGTCACAAAGTGTTTCCTGGGAATGCTACTGTCTCATTTTTATGTGCAGTTATATCCTCTACTGCCATAGGCCTCAAAGCGGTCCAAATCTCCCCTTTCAGATTCTACCAAAAGTGTGTTTCCAAACGGCTCCATCAAAGGCAATGTTCAGCTCGGTGACTTGAAAGCAATCATCACAAAGCAGCTTCTGAGAATGCTTCCATGTATCTTTGATGAGAAGACATTTCCTTTTCCACCCCAGGCCTCGAAGCCCTCCAAATGTCCCCTTGCAGATGCTAGAAAGAGAGGGTTTCAAAGCTGCTCTATCAAAAGGAAAGTACAACTCTGCGAGTTGAATGCAAACATCACAAAGAAGTTCCTGAGCATGCTTCCGTTTAGCTTTTATGGGAAGATTATCCCTTTTCCATCGGAATGTTCAAAGAGGTCCACGTATCCGCTTGCAGATTCCACCGAAAGAGTGTTTCCAAACTGCTGCATCAAAAGGAATCCTCAGCTCCGTGAGTTGAATGCAATCATCACCAAGAAGTTTCTGACAATGCTTCTCTCTAGTTTTTATGTGAAGATATTTCCTTATCCACCACAGGCCTGAAAGGGCTCCAAATGTCCACTTGGAGGCTCTACGAAAAGAATGTTTCAAAACTGCTCCATGAAAAGCAATGTTATACTCTGGGAGTTGAACACAAGCCTCACAAAGGAGTTTCTGAGAATGCTTCTGTTTACTTTTTACGTGAGGATATTCCCGTTTCCAAAGAAGTCCTCACAGAGTTCCACCTATCCATTTGCAGATGCTAGCAAAACAGAGTTTCAAAACTGCTCTATCAAAAGGAATGTTCAACTCTGTGAGTTGCATGCAATCATCACAGAGAAGTTTCTGAGAAGGCTTCTGTCTAGATTTTATGTGAAGATATAGCCGTTTCGAACGAAGGCCACAAAGTGCTCCAAATATCCACTTGCAGGTCCTCCAAAAAGAGTGTTTCAAACGTGAACTACCAAAGGAAGGCTCAACTCTGGACTTTGAATGCCAACGTCAGAAGGATGTTTCTGCGAAAGCTTCTGTTTAGTTAGGCGACGTTATCCCGTTTCCAACGAAATCCTCAGAGAGGTCCAAATATCCACCTGCAGAGTCTACAAAAAGTGTGTTTCAAAACTGCTCCACCCAAAGGAATGTTCAGCTCTGTGAGTTGAACTCAATCATCCCAAAGTATTTTCTGAGAATGCTTCTGTCCAGTTTTTACATGAAGCTGTTTCCTTTACTACCGTAGGCCTCAAAGCGTTCCAAATCTCCACTGGCAGATGCTACGAAAGGAGCGTTTCAACCTGAACTCACAAGGGAAGGTTCACCTCTGTCAGTTGAATGTCAACATCACAAAGAAGTTCTGAGAATGTTCCTCTTCAGTTATGTGAGGTTTATCCCGTTTCCAACGAAATTCTCAGAGAAGTCCCAATATCCACTTGCATATTCTACAAAACGTGTGTTTTGAAAATGCTCCATCAAAAGACCTGCTCAGCTCTGTGAGTTAAACTCAATCATCGCAAAGAATTTTCTGAGAATGCTTCTGTCTTATTTTTAGATGAAGTTCTTTCCTTTACTACGACAGGCCTCAAAGAGGTCCAAATCTCCACTTGCAGATTCTGCAGAAGGAGTGTTTCAAACCTGAACCGTCAGAGGAAGGTTCAACACTGTGAGTTGAATGCAAGCATCACGAAGAAGGTTCTGAGAATGCTTCTGTTTACGTAGGTGAATTCTCTCCCTTATCCAACGAAATCCTCAGAGCGGTCCGAATCTCCACTTGCAGATTCTACACAAAGTGTGTTTGGAAACTGCTCCATCCAAAGGAATGTTCAGCTCCGTGAGTTGAACTCAATCGTCACAAAGTGTTTCCTGCGAATGCTACTGTCTCGTTTTTATGTGCAGTTATATCCTCTACTGCCATAGGCCTCAAAGCGGTCCAAATCTCCCCTTTCAGATTCTACCAAAAGTGTGTTTCCAAACGGCTCCATCAAAGAGAATATTCAGCTCGGTGACTTGAAAGCAATCATCACAAAGCAGCTTCTGAGAATGCTTCCATGTAGCTTTGATGAGAAGATATTTCCTTTTCCACCCCAGGACTCGAAGCCCTCCAAATGTCCCCTTGCAGATGCTAGAAAGAGAGGGTTTCAAAGCTGCTCTATCAAAAGGAAAGTACAACTCTGCGAGTTGAATGCAAACATCACAAAGAAGTTCCTGAGCATGCTTCCGTTTAGCTTTTACGGGAAGATTATCCCTTTTCCATCGCAATGTTCAAAGAGGTCCACATATCCGCTTGCAGATTCCACCGAAAGAGTGTTTCCAACCTGCTGCATCAAAAGGAATCCTCAGCTCCGTGAGTTGAATGCAATCATCACCAAGAAGTTTCTGACAATGCTTCTCTCTAGTTTTTATGTGAAGATATTTCCTTATCCACCACAGGCCTGAAAGGGCTCCAAATGTCCACTTGGAGGCTCTACGAAAAGAATGTTTCANAACTGCTCCCATGAAAGCTATGTTATACTCTGGGAGTTGAACACAAGCCTCACAAAGGAGTTNCAGAGAAATGCTCTGTTNACTTNNTACGTGNAGATATTCCCGTTCCNAAGAGTCTCACAGAGTCCACTATCATTTGCGAGCTAGCAA
>NC_000001.11:121963543-121965833 GCF_000001405.40 Homo sapiens
CGTTTCNACGAATCNTCAGAGAGTCCAAATTCCACCTGCAGATCTACAAAAGTGTGNTTCAAACTGCTNCACNCNAAGGAATGTTCAGCTCTGTGAGTGAAACTCATCATCCAAAAAGTATTTTCTGAGAATGCTTCTGTCCAGTGTTANCATGAAGCTGTTCCTTACTACCNGTAGGCCTCAAAGCGTTCCAAACCTCCACTTGCAGATACTACGAAAAGAGCGTTTCAACCTGAACTCACAAGGGAAGGTTCAACTCTGTCAGTTGAATGCCAACATCACCAAGAACTTCTGAGAATGTTCGTCTTCAGTTACGTGAGGTTTATCCCGTTTCCAACGAAATTCTCAGAGAAGTCCCAAAATCCACTTGCATATTCCACAAAAGGTGTGTTTGGAAAATGCGCCATCAAAAGATATGCTCAGCTCTGTGAGTTAAACTCAATCATCGCAAAGAATTTTCTGAGAATGCTTCCGTCTTGTTTTTAGATGAAGTTCTTTCCTTTACTACGATAGGCCTCAAGGAGGTCCAAATCTCCACTTGCAGATTCTGCAGAAGGAGTGTTTCAAACCTGAACTGTCAGAGAAAGGTTCAACACTGTGAGTTGAATGCAAGCATCACGATGAAGGATCTGAGAATGCTTCTGTTTACGTAGGTGACTTTTCTCCCGTATCCAACGAAATCCTCAGAGCGGTCCAAATCTCCACTTGCAGATTCTACACAAAGTGTGTTTGGAAACTGCTCCACCCAAACGAATGTTGAGCTCTGTGAGTTGAACTCAATCGTCACAAAGCGTTTCCTGGGAATGCTCCTGTCTCGCTTTTATGTGCAGTTATATCCTCTACTGCCATAGGCCTCAAAGCGGTCCAAATCTCCCCTTTCAGATTCTACCAATGGTGTGTTTCCAAACGGCCCCATCAAAGGGGATGTTCAACTCGGTGACTTGAATGCAATCATCACAAAGCAGCTTCTGAGAATGCTTCCATGTAGCTTTGATGAGAAGATATTTCCTTTTCCACCCCAGGCCTCGAAGCCCTCCAAATGTCCCCTTGCCGATGCTAGAAAGAGGGGGTTTCAAAGCTGCTCTATCAAAAGGAAAGTACAACTCTGTGAGTGAAATGCAAACATCACAAGGAAGTTCCTGAGCATGCTTCCGTTTAGCTTTTACGAGAAGATTATCCCTTTTCCATCGAAATGTTCAAAGAGGTCCACATATCCGCTTGCAGATTCCACCGAAAGAGTGTTTCCAAACTGCTGCATCAAAAGGAATCCTCAGCTCCGTGAGTTGAATGCAATCATCACCAAGAAGTTTCTGACAATGCTTCTCTCTAGATTTTATGTGAAGATATTTCCTTTTCCACCGCAGGCCTGAAAGCGCTCCAAATGTCCACTTGGAGGCTCTACGAAAAGAATGTTTCAAAACTGCTCTATGAAAAGCAATGTTATACTCTGGGAGTTGAACACAAGCCTCACAAAGGAGTTTCTGAGAATGCTTCTGTTTACTTTTTACGTGAGGATATTCCCGTTTCCAAAGAAGTCTTCACAGAGTTCCACCTATCCATTTGCAGATGCTAGCAAAAGAGAGTTTCAAAACTGCTCCATCAAAAGGAATGTTCAACTCTGTGAGTTGCATGCAATCATCACAGAGAAGTTTCTGAGAAGGCTTCTGTCTAGATTTTATGTGAAGATATAGCCGTTTCGAACGAAGGCCACAAAGTGCTCCAAATATCCACTTGCAGGTCCTCCAAAAAGAGTGTTTCAAACGTGTACTACCAAAGGAAGGCTCAACTCTGGACTTTGAAGGCCAACGTCAGAAGGATGTTTCTGCGAAAGCTTCTCTTTAGTTAGGTGACGTTATCCCGTTTCCAACGAAATCCTCTGAGAGGTCCAAATATCCACCTGTAGAGTCTACAAAAAGTGTGTTTCAAAAATGCTCCACCCAAAGGAATGTTCAGCTCTGTGAGTTGAACTCAATCATCGCAAAGTATTTTCTGAGAATGCTTCTGTCCAGTTTTTACATGAAGCTGTTTCCTGTACTACCGTAGGACTCAAAGCGTTCCAAACCTCCACTTGCAGATACTACGAAAAGAGCGTTTCAACCTGAACTCACAAGGGAAGGTTCAACTCTGTCAGTTGAATGCCAACATCACCAAGAACTTCTGAGAATGTTCCTCTTCAGTTACGTGTGGTTTATCCCGTTTCCAACGAAATTCTCAGAGAAGTCCCAAAATCCACTTGCATATTCCACAAAAGGTGTGTTGGAAAATGCGCCATCAAAAGAATGTCAGCTCT
>NC_000001.11:121965933-121968820 GCF_000001405.40 Homo sapiens
AACTAGACAGATGATCTCACAAACTCTTTATGGAGTGGGCATTCAATCACCAGAGTTTANCTTTCTTTTTCATAGAGCAGTTGGAAAACACTCTGTTTNTAAAGTCTGTAAGTGGATATTCAGACTTCTAAGAGGCCTTCGTTGAAACAGGATTTCTTCATATTCTGCTAGACAGAGAATTCTCAGAAACTTCCTTGTGTTGTGTGTATTCAACTCACAGAGTTGAACGATCCTTAAAACAGAGCAGAATTGAAACACTCTTTTTGTGGAATTTGCAAGTGGAGATTTCAGCCGCTTTAAGGTCAATGGTAGAAAAGGAAATATCTTCGTATAGAAACTAGACAGAATGATTCTCAGAAACTCCTTTGTGATGTGTGCGTTCAACTCACAGAGTTTAACCTTTCTTTTCATAGAGCAGTTAGGAAACACTCTGTTTGTAAAGTCTGCAAGTGGAAATTCAGACCTCTTTGAGACCTTCGTTGGAAACGGGATTTCTTCATATTCTGGTAGACAGAAGAATTCTCAGTAACTTCTTTGTGTTGTGTGTATTCAACTCACAGAGTTGAACGATCCTTCAAACAGAGCAGACTTGAAACACTCTTTTTGTGGAATTTCAAGTGGAGATTTCAGCCGCTTTGAGGTCAATGGTAGAATAGGAAATATCTTCCTATAGAAACTAGACAGAATGATTCTCAGAAACTCCTTTATGATGTGTGCATTCAACTCACAGAGTTTAACGTTTCTTTTCATAGAGCATTTAGGAAACACTCTGTTTGTAAAGTCTGCAAGTGGATATTCAGACCTCCTAGAGGCCTTCGTTGGAAACGGGATTTCTTCATATTCTGCTAGACAGAAGAATTCTCAGTAACTTCCTTGTGTTGTGTGTATTCAACTCACAGAGTTGAACGATCCTTTACACAGAGCAGACTTGAAACACACTTTTTTTGGTATTTTCAAGTGGAGATTTCAGCCGCTTTGTGGTCAATGGTAGAAAAGGAAATATCTTCGTATAAAGACTAGACAGAATGATTCTCAGAAACTCCTTTGTGATGTGTGCGTTCAACTCACAGAGTTTAACCTTTCTTTTCATAGAGCAGTTAGGAAACACTCTGTTTGTAAAGTCTGCAAGGGGATATTCAGACCTCTTTGAGGCTTTCTTTGGAAACTGGATTTCTTCATATTCTGCTAGACAGAAGAATTCTCAGAAACTTCATTGTGTTGTGTGTATTGAACTCACAGAGTTGAACGATCCTTTACACAGAGCAGACGTGAAACACTCTTTTTGTGGAATTTGCAAGTGGAGATTTCAGCCGCTTTGAGGTCAATGGTTCAATAGGAAATATCTCCCAATAGAAACTAGACAGAATGATTATCAGAAACTCCTTTGTGATGTGTGCGTTCAACTCACAGAGTTTAACCTTTCTTTTCATAGAGCAGTTAGGAAACACGCTGTAATGTCTGCAAGTGGATATTCAGACCTCTTTGAGGCTTTCCTTGGAAACTGGATTTCTTCATATTCTGCTAGACAGAAGAATTCTCAGAAACTTCATTGTGTTGTGTGTATTGAACTCACAGAGTTGAACGATCCTTTACACAGAGCAGACTTGAAGCACTCTTTTTGTGGAATTTGCAAGTGGAGATTTCAGCCGCTTTGAGGTCAATGGTAGAAAAAGAAATATCTTCTTATAAAAACTAGACAGAATGATTCTCAGAAACTCCTTTGTGATGTTTGCGTTCAACTGACAGACTTTAACCTTTCTTTTCATAGAGCAGTTAGGAAACACTCTGTTTGTAAAGTCTGCAAGTGGATATTCAGACCTCCTAGAGGCCTTCGTTGGAAACAGGATTTCTTCATATTATGCTAGACAGAAGAATTCTCAGTAACTTCCTTGTGTTGTGTGTATCAACTCACAGAGTTGAACGATCCTTTACACAGAGCAGACTTGAAACACTCTTTTTGTGGAATTTGCAAGTGGAGATTTCAGCCGCTTTGAGGTCAAAGGTAGAATAGGAAATATCTTCCTATAGAAACTAGACAGAATGATTCTCAGAAACTCCTTTGTGATGAGTGCGTTCAACTCACAGAGTTTAACCTTTCTTTTCATAGAGCAGTTAGGAAACATTCTGTTTGTAAAGTCTGCAAGTGGATATTCAGACCTCTTTGAGGCTTTCGTTGGAAACGGGATTTCTTCATATTCTGCTAGACAGAAGAATTCTCAGAAACTTCCTTGTGTTGTGTGTATTCAACTCACAGAGTTGAACGATCCTTTACACAGAGCAGACTTGAAACACCCTTTTTGTGGAATTTGCAAGTGGAGATTTCAGCCGCTTTGAAGTCAATGGTAGAAAAGGGAATATCTTCGTATAGAAACTAGACAGATGATTCTCAGAAACTCCTTTGTGATGTGTGCGTTCAACTCACAGAGTTTAACCTTTCTTTTCTTAGAGCAGTTAGGAAACACTCTGTTTATAATGTCTGCAAGTGGATATTCAGACCCCTTTGAGGCCTTCGTTGGAAACGGGATTTCTTCATATTATGCTAGACAGAAGAATTCTCAATAACTTCCTTGTGTTGTGTGTATTCAACTCACAGAGTTGAACGATCCTTTACACAGAGCAGACTTGAAACACTCTTGTTGTGGAATTTGCAAGTGGAGATTTCAGCCGCTTTGAGGTCAATGGTAGAATAGGAAATATCTTCCTATAAAAACTAGACAGAATGATTCTCAGAAACTCCTTTGTGATGTGTGCGTTCAACTCACAGAGTTTAACCTTTCTTTTCATAGAGCAGTTAGGAAACACTCTGTTTGTAAAGTCTGCAAGGGGATATTCAGACCTCTTTGAGGCTTTCTTGGAAACGGGATTCTCATATTCTGCTGACAGAAGA
>NC_000001.11:121968920-121972191 GCF_000001405.40 Homo sapiens
TGATGTTTGCATTCAACTCACAGAGTTGTACTTTCCTTTTCATTGAGCAGCCTTGAAACCCTCTCTTTCTAGCATCTGCACGGGGACATTTGGAGGGCTTCGAGGCCTGGGGAGGAAAAGGAAATATCTTCTCATCAAAGCTACATGGAACATTCTCAGAAGCTGCTTTGTGAAGATTGCATTCAAGTCACCGAGTTGAACATTCCCCTTGATGGAGCCGTTTGGAAACACACTTTTGTTAGAATCTGAAAGGGGAGATTTGGACCGCTCTGAGGCACATGACAGTAGAGGATATAACTGCACATAAAAACGAGACAGGAGCATTCCCAGGAAACAATTTGTGACGATTGAGTGCAACTCACAGAGCTGAACATTCCTTTGGATGGAGCAGTTTCCAAACACACTTTGTGTAGAATCTGCAAGAGGAGATTTGGACCCCTCTGAGGATTTCGTTGGATACGGGAGAGAACTCACCTACGTAAACAGAAGCATTCTCAGAACCTTCTTCGTGATGCTTGCATTCAACTCACAGTGTTGAACCTTTCTCTGACATTTCAGGTTTGAAACACTCCTCCTGCAGAATCTGCAAGTGGAGATTTGGAACTCTTTGAGGCCTATCGTAGTAAAGGAAAGACCTTCATCTAAAAACAAGACAGAAGCATTCTCAGAAAATTCTTTACGATGATGGAGTTTAACTCACAGAGCTGAGCATATCTTTTGATGGCGCATTTTCAAAACACACTTTTTGTAGAATATGCAAGTGGATTTTGGGACTTCTCAGAGAATTTCGTTGGAAACGCGATAAACCTCACATAACTGAAGAGGAACACTCTCAGAACTTCTTTGTGATGTTGGCATTCAACTGACAGAGTTGAAACTTCCCTTGTGAGTTCAGGTTGAAACCCTCTTTTCGTACTATCTTCAAGTGGAGATTTGGAACGCTTTGAGGCCTATGGTAGTAAACGAAACAGCTTCATGTAAAAACTGGACAGAAGCATTCTCAGAAAATACTTTGGGATGATTGAGTTCAACTCACAGAGCTGAACATTCCTTTGGGTGGAGCAGTTTTGAAACACACTTTTGGAGACTCTGCAGGTGAATATTTGGACCTCTCTGAGGATTTCGTTGGAAGCGGGATAACGTCACCTAACTAAACAGAAGCTTTCGCAGAAACATCTTTCTGACGTTGGCATTCAAAGTCCAGAGTTGAGCCTTCCTTTGGTAGTTCACGTTTGAAACACTCTTTTTGGAGGACCTGCCAGTGGATATTTGGAGCACTTTGTGGCCTTCGTTCGAAACGGCTATATCTTCACATAAAATCTAGACAGAAGCCTTCTCAGAAACCTCTCTGTGATGATTGCATGCAACTCACAGAGTTGAACATTCCTTTTGATAGAGCAGTTTTGAAACTCTCTAGTTTTGCTAGCATCTGCAAATGGATAGGTGGAACTCTGTGAAGACTTCTTTGGAAACGGGAATATCCTCACGTAAAAAGTAAACAGAAGCATTCTCAGAAACTCCTTTGTGAGGCTTGTGTTCAACTCCCAGAGTATAACATTGCTTTTCATAGAGCAGTTTTGAAACATTCTTTTCGTAGTGCCTCCAAGTGGACATTTGGGTCACTTTCAGGCCTGCGTTGGAAAAGGAAATATCTTCACATAAAAACTAGAGAGAAGCATTGTCAGAAACTTCTTGGTGATGATTGCATTCAACTCACGGAGCTGAGGATTCCTTTGGATGCAGCAGTTTGGAAACACTCTTTCGGTGGAATCTGCAAGCGGATATGTGGACCTCTTTGAACATTTCGATGGAAAAGGGATAATCTTCCCGTAAAAGCTAAACGGAAGCATGCTCAGGAACTTCCTTGTGATGTTTGCATTCAACTCACAGAGTTGTACTTTCCTTTTGATAGAGCAGCTTTGAAACCCCCTCTTTCTAGCATCTGCAAGGGGACATTTGGAGGGCTTTGAGGCCTGGGGTGGAAAAGGAAATATCTTCTCATCAAAGCTACATGGAAGCATTCTCAGAAGCTGCTTTGTGATGATTGCTTTCAAGTCACCGAGTTGAACATCCCCTTTGATGGGGCCGTTAGGAAACACACTTTTGGTAGAATCTGAAAGGGGAGATTTCGACCGCTTTGAGGCCTATGGCAGTAGAGGATATAACTGCACATAAAAGCGAGACAGGAACATTCCCAGGAAACGCTTTGTGACGATTGAGTTCAACTCACAGAACTGAACATTCCTTTGGGTGGAGCAGTTTCCAAACACACTTTGTGTAGAATCTGCAAGTGGAGATTTGGACCGCTCTGAGGATTTCGCTGGATACGGGAGAAAAGTCACCTACGTAAACAGAAGCATTCTCAGAACCTTCTTCGTGATGCTTGCATTCAACTCACAGTGTTGAACCTTTCTCTGACAGTTCAGGTTTGAAACACTCCTTCTGCAGAATCTGCCAGTGGAGATTTGGACCTCTTTGAGGCCTGTCGTAGTAAAGGAAAGAACTTCATCTAAAAACAAGACGGAAGCATTCTCAGAAAATTCTTTGCGATGATTGAGTTTAACTCACAGAGCTGAGCATATCTTTTGATGGCGCATTTTACAAACACACCTTTTGTGGAATATGCAAGTGGATTTAGGGACTTCTCTGAGAATTTCGTGGGAAACGGGATAAACCTCACATAACTGAAGAGGAACATTCTCAGAAGTTCTTGGTAACGTTGGCATTCAACTGACAGAGTTGAACCTTCCCTTGTGAGTTCAGGTTGAAACGCTCTTTTCGTAGTATCTGCAAGTGGAGGTTTGGAACGCTTTGAGGCCTACAGTAGTAAAGGAAACAGCTTCATGTAAAAACTGGACAGAAGCCTTCTCAGAAAATACTTTGGGATGATTGAGTTCAACTCACAGAGCTGAACCTTCCTTTGGGTGGAGCAGTTTTGAAACACACTTTTTGTAGACTCTGCAGGTGGATATTTGGACCTCTCTGAGGATTTCGTTGGAAACGGGATAACGTCACCTAACTAAACAGAAGCTTCCGCAGAAACATCCTTCTGACGTTGGCCTTCAAAGTCCCGAGTTGAGCCTTCCTTTGGTAGTTCACGTTTGAAACACTCTTTTTGGAGGACCTGCAAGTGGATATTTGGAGCACTTTGTGGCCTTCGTTCGAAACGGCTATATCTTCACATAAAATCTAGACAGAAGCCTTCTCAGAAACTTCTCTGTGATGATTGCACGCAACTCACAGAGGTGAACATTCCTTTTGATAGAGCAGT
>NC_000001.11:121972291-121974357 GCF_000001405.40 Homo sapiens
TTTGAAATTTCTTTGCTAGATCGCAATGGATAGGGGAACTCTGAAGGCTTCTTGGAAACGGAATTTCCTCCGTAAAAGTAAACGGAGGCTTTTCCGGAATTCCTTTGGAGGGCTTGGTTCCAATCCCAGAGTTATAACATGCTTTTTCATGGAGCAGTTTTGAAACATTCTTTTTGTGGAGCTCCAAAGTGGACATTTGGAGCGCTTTCAGGCCTGCGGTGGAAAAAGAAATATCTTTCACATAAAACTTAGAGAGAAGCATTGTCAGAAACTTCTTGGTGATGATTGCATCCAACTCACGGAGCTGAGGATTCCTTTGGATGCAGCAGTTTGGAAACACTCTTTCGGTGGAATCTGCAAGCGGATATGTGGACCTCTTCGAACATTTCGATGGAAAAGGGATAATCTTCCCGTAAAAGCTAAACGGAAGCATGCTCAGGAACTTCCTTGTGATGTTTGCATTCAACTCACAGAGTTGTACTTTCCTTTTGATAGAGCAGCTTTGAAACCCCCTCTTTCTAGCATCTGCAAGGGGACATTTGGAGGGCTTCGAGGCCTGGGGTGGAAAAGGAAATATCTTCTCATCAAACCTACATGGAAGCATTCTCAGAAGCTGCTTTGTGATGATTGCATTCAAGTCACCGAGTTGAACATCCCCTTTGATGGGGCCGTTTGGAAACACACTTTTGGTAGAATCTGAAAGGGGAGATTTGGACCGCTTTGAGGCCTATGGCAGTAGAGGATATAACTGCACATAAAAGCGAGACAGGAGCATTCCCAGGAAACGCTTTGTGACGATTGAGTTCAACTCACAGAGCTGAACATTCCTTTGGGTGAAGCAGTTTCCAAACACACTTTGTGTAGAATCTGCAAGTGGAGATTTGGACCGCTCTGAGGATTTCGTTGGATACGGGAGAAAAGTCACCTACGTAAACAGAAGCATTCTCAGAACCTTCTTCGTGATGCGTGCATTCAACTCACAGTGTTGAACCTTTCTCTGACAGTTCAGGTTTGAAACACTCCTTCTGCAGAATCTGCAAGTGGACATTTGGACCTCCTTGAGGCCTATCGTAGTAAAGGAAAGAACTTCATCTAAAAACAAGACGGAAGCATTCTCAGAAAATACTTTGCGATGATTGAGTTTAACTCACAGAGCTGAGCATATCTTTTGATGGCGCATTTTCAAAACACACCTTTTGTGGAATATGGAAGTGGATTTTGGGACTTCTCTGAGAATTTCGTTGGAAAGGGGATAAACCTCACGTAACTGAAGAGGAACATTCTCAGAAGTTCTTCTTGATGTTGGCATTCAACTGGCAGAGTTGAACCTTCCCTTGTGAGTTCATGTTGAAACGCTCTTTTCGTAGTATCTGCAAGTGGAGGTTTGGAACGCTTTGAGGCCTACGGTAGTAAAGGAAACAGCTTCATGTAAAAACTGGACAGAAGCATTTTCAGAAAATACTTTGGGATGATTGAGTTCAACTCACAGAGCTGAACATTCCTTTGGGTGGAGCAGTTTTGAAACACACTTTTTGTAGACTCTGCAGGTGGATATTTGAACCTCTCTGAGGATTTCGTTGGAAACGGGATAACGTCACCTAACTAAACAGAAGCTTTCGCAGAAACATCCTTCTGACGTTGGCATTCAAAGTCCAGAGTTGAGCCTTCCTTTGGTAGTTCACGTTTGAAACACTCTTTTTGGAGGACCTGCAAGTGGATATTGNGAGCGCTTTGTGGCCTTCGTTCGAAACGGCCGTATCTTCACATAANATCTAGACAGAAGCCTTCTCAGAAACTTCTCTGTGATGATTGCCTGCAACTCACAGAGTTGAACATTCCTTTGGATGGAGCAGTTTTGAAACTCTCTTTTGCTAGCATCTGCCAATGGATAGGTGGAACTCCTGTGAGACTTCTTTGAAACGGGAATATCCTCCCGTAAAAGTAAACAGAGCTTTCTCAAAACTCCTTTGTGAGCTGGGGTCAACTCCCGAGTATACATGCTTTTCATAAACAGTTTGAAAATTTCTTTTCTAAACCTCCATGGGACTTGGAGGCTTTCAGGCCTG
>NC_000001.11:121974457-121976459 GCF_000001405.40 Homo sapiens
ATTTTTTGGGAAAGCTTTGTCCATTTTTTCGGAAATTTTTCCTTTTTTCCGTAGGCGCAAAGCGGTCAATTTCCCCTTGCGATTTTAAAAAAGGAGTTTTCCCCCCATTTCCAAAGGGAAGTTAAACTCTTGAGGGGAATGCACCTCACAAAAAAAGTTTGGGGAATTTTCTTTTAGTTAAGGGAGGTTTATCCCTTTTCAATGAATCCTTCGGGGAGTCCGAATATCCGCTTCATATTCTAAAAAATGGTGTTTCGAAACTGCTCCTTCCAAAGGAATGTAGGCTCTGGGATTTAACTCCATTATCACAAAGATTTTGTGAGAAGGCATCAGTCTTTTTTTAGATGAAGATATTCCCTTTAATGCGATAGGCCTCAAAGGAGGTCCAAATCTCCACTGGCATATTCTACAGAAAGAGTGTTTAAAACCTGAACTATCAGAGGAAGGTTCACTACTGTGAGTTAAATTCAAACATCACGAAGAAGGTTTTGAGAATGCTTCTGTTTAGATAGGTGAGGTTTCTCCCGTTTCCAACGAAATCCTCAGAGAGGTCCAAACATCCACTTGCAGATTCTACAAAAAGTGTGTTCTGAAACTGCTCCATCCAAAGGAATGTTCAGCTCTGTGAGAAGAACTCAATCGTCACAAATTGTTTCCTGAGAATACTACTGTCTAGTCTTTATAAGTAGATATTACATCAGCTGCCGTAGGCCTGAAAGCGGTCCAAATCTCCCCTTTCAGATTCTACCAAAAGAGTCTTTCCAAACGGCTCTATCAAAGGGAATGTTCATCTCTGTGACTTGAACGCAATCATCAAAAAAGTAGTTTCTGAGAATGCTTCCATCTAGCTTTTATGAGAAGATATTTCCTTTCCCACCACAGGCCTGGAAGCCCTCCAAATGTCCATTTGCAGATTCTAGAAAGAGAGGGTATCAAGGCTGATCTATCAAAAATAAAGTCCAACTCTGTGACTTGAATGCAAACACCACAAAGAAGTTTCTGAGAATACTTCTGTGTAGCTTTTATGGGAAGATTATTCCTTATCCATAGAAATCTTCAAAGAGGTCCAATTATCCGCTTGCAGATTCCACCGAAAGAATGATTCCAAACTTTTGTATCAAAAGGAATCTTTAACTCCGGAGTTCAATGCAATCATCACAAAGAAGTTTCTGACAATGCTTCTCCCTAGTTTTTATGTGAAGGATATTACTTGTCCACCACATGCCTGGAAGCGCTGTAAATGTCCACTTGCAGACTCTACGAAAAGGATGCTTCAGAACTGCTCTATGAAAAGCAATGTTAAACTCTGGGAGTTGACCACAAGCCTCACAAAGAAGTCTCAGAGAATGCTTCTGTTTATTTTTTATGTGAAGATATTCCCGTTTCCAAAGATATCTTCACAGAGGTCCACATATCCACTTGCAGATTCTACAAAAAGAGAGTTTCAAATCTGCTGTATCAAAAGGAATGTTCAACTCTGCGAGTTGAATGCAATCATCACAAAGCAGTTTCTGAGAAGGCTTCCGTCTAGATTTTACGTGAAGATATACCCGTTTCGAATGAAGTCCACAAAGTGCTCCAAATATCCACATGCAGATCCTACAAAAAGAGTGTTACAAACGTGAACTAACAAAGGAAGGTTCAACTCTGGGCTTGGAATGCAAACATTACAAAGAAGTTTCTGGGAAAGCTTCTGTTTAGTTAGATGATGTTATCCCGTTTCCAACAAAATCCTCAGAGAGGTCCAAATATCCACTTGCAGATTCTACAAAAAGTGTGTTTCAAAGCTGCTCCATCCAAAGGCACGTTCAGATCTGTGAGTTAAATTCAATCATCACAAAGTATTTTCTGAGAATGCTTCTGTCCAGTTTTTACATGAAGCTATATCCTTTACTACCGTAGGCCTCCAAGCAGTCCAAATCTCCACTTGCAGATTCTACAAAATCGAGTGTCTCAACTCAGAACCTCAGAAGTGGAAGAGATCAATCCCGGTGAGTAGAAT
>NC_000001.11:122026459-122056834 GCF_000001405.40 Homo sapiens
AGCATTCTCAGAACCTTCTTCGTGATGCTTGCCTTCAACTCACAGTGTTGAACCTTTCTCTGACAGTTCAGGTTTGAAACACTCCTTCTGCAGAATCTGCAAGTGGAGATTTGGACCTCTTTGAGGCCTGTCGTAGTAAAGGAAAGAACTTCATCTAAAAACAAGACAGAAGCATTCTCAGAAAATTCTTTGCGATGATTGAGTTTAACTCACAGAGCTGAGCAGGTCTTTTGATGGAGCATTTTCAAAACACACGTTTTGTAGTATATGCAAGTGGATATTGGGACTTCTCCGAGAATTTCGTTGGAAACGGGATAAACCTCACATAACTGAAGAGGAACCTTCTCAGAACTTCTTTGTGATGTTGACATTCAACTGACAGAGGTGAACCTTCCCTTGTGAGTTCAGGTTGAAACGCTCTTTTCGTAGCATCTGCAAGTGGAGATTTGGAACGCTTTGAGGCCTACGGTAGTAAAGGAAACAGCTTCATGTAAAAACTGGACAGAAGCATTCTCAGAAAATACTTTGGGATGATTGAGTTCAACTCACAGAGCTGAACATTCCTTTGGGTGGAGCAGTTTTGAAACACACTTTTGGAGACTCTGCAGGTGGATATTTGGACCTCTCTGAGGATTTCGTAGGAAGCGGGATAACGTCACCTAACTAAACAGAAGCTTTCGCAGAAACATCTTTCGACGTTGGCATTCAAAGTCCAGAGTTGAGCCTTCCTTTGGTAGTTCACGTTTGAAACACTCTTTTTGGAGGACCTGCAAGTGGATATTGGGAGCACTTTGTGGCCTTCGTTCGAAACGGCCATATCTTCACATAAAATCTAGACAGAAGCCTTCTCAGAAACTTCTCTGTGATGATTGCATGCAACTCACAGAGTTGAACATTCCTTTTGATAGAGCAGTTTTGAAACTCTCTTTTGCTAGCATCTGCAAATGGATAGGTGGAACTCTGTGGAGACTTCTTTGGAAACGGGAATATCCTCACGTAAAAAGTAAACAGAAGCATTCTCAGAAACTCCTTTGTGAGGCTTGTGTTCAACTCCCAGAGTATAACATTGCTTTTCATGGAGCAGTTTTGAAACATTCTTTTCGTAGAGCCTCCAAGTGGACATTTGGAGCCCTTTCAGGCCTGTGGTGGATAAGGAAATATCTTCACATAAAAACTAGAGAGAAGCATTGTCAGAAACTTCTTGGTGATGATTGCATTCAACTCACGGAGCTGAGGATTCCTTTTGATGCAGCAGTTTGGAAACACTCTTTCGGTGGAATCTGCAAGCGGATACGTGGACCTCTTTGAACATTCCGATGGAAAAGGGATAATCTTCCCATAAAAGCTAAACGGAAGCATGCTCAGGAACTTCTTTGTGATGTTTGCATTCAACTCGCAGAGTTGTACTTTCCTTTTGATAGAGCAGCTTTGAAACCCTCTCTTTCTAGCATCTGCAAGGGGACATTTGGAGGGCTTCGAGGCCTGGGGTGGAAAAGGAAATGTCTTCTCATCAAAGATACATGGAAGCATTCTCAGAAGCTGCTTTGTGATGATTGCTTTCAAGTCACCGAGCTGAACATTCCCTTTGATGGAGCCGTTTGGAAACACACTTTTGGTAGAATCTGAAAGGGGAGATTTGGACCGCTTTGAGGCCTGTGGCAGTAGAGGATAAAACTGCACATAAAAACGAGACAGTAGCATTCCCAGGAAACACTTTGTGACGATTGAGTTCAACTCACGGAGCTGAACATTCCTTTGGATGGAGCAGTTTCCAAACACACTTTGTGTAGAATCTGCAAGTGGAGATTCGGACCGCTCTGAGGATTTCGTTGGATACGGGAGAGAACTCACCTACGTAAACAGAAGCATTCTCAGAACCTTCTTCGTGATGCTTGCATTCAACTCACAGTGTTGAACCTTTCTCTGACAGTTGAGGTTTGAAACACTCCTTCTGCAGAATCTGCAAGTGGAGATTTGGACCTCTTTGAGGCCTATCGTAGTAAAGGAAAGAACTTCATCTAAAAACAAGACAGAAGCATTCTCAGAAAATTCTTTGCGATGATTGAGTTTAACTCACAGAGCTGAGCATATATTTTAATGGCGCATTTTCCAAACACACCTTTTGTAGAATATGCAAGTGGATTTTGGGACTTCTCTGAGAATTTCGTTGGAATCGGGATAAACCTCACATAACTGAAGAGGAACATTCTCAGAACTTCTTTGTGATGTTGACATTCAACTGACAGTGGTGAACCTTCCCTTGTGAGTTCAGGTTGAAACGCTCCTTTCGTAGCATCTGCAAGTGGAAATTTGGAACGCTTTGAGGCCTACGGTAGTAAAGGAAACAGCTTCATGTAAAAACTGGACAGAAGCATTCTCAGAAAATACTTTGGGGTGATTGAGTTCAACTCACAGAGCTGAACATTCCTTTGGGTGGAGCAGTTTTGAAACACACTTTTTGTAGACTCTGCAGGTGGATATTTGGACCTCTCTGAGGATTTCGTTGGAAACGGGATAACGTCGCCTAACTAAACAGAAAGCTTTCGCAGAAACATCCTTCTGACGTTGGCATTCAAAGTCCAGAGTTGAGCCTTCCTTTGGTAGTTCACGTTTGAAACACTCTTTTTGGAGGACCTGCAAGTGGATATTTGGAGCACTTTGTGGCCTTCGTTCGAAACGGCTATATCTTCACATAAAATCTAGACAGAAGCCTTCTCAGAAACTTCTCTGTGATGATTGCATGCAACTCACAGAGTTGAACATTCCTTTTGATAGAGCAGTTTTGAAACTCTCTTTTGCTAGCATCTGCAAATGGATAGGTGGAACTCTGTGGAGACTTCTTTGGAAACGGGAATATCCTCACGTAAAAAGTAAACAGAAGCATTCTCAGAAACTCCTTTGTGAGGCTTGTGTTCAACTCCCAGAGTATAACATT
Source organism: Homo sapiens (assembly GCF_000001405.40). Classification (NCBI taxonomy): domain Eukaryota; kingdom Metazoa; phylum Chordata; class Mammalia; order Primates; family Hominidae; genus Homo; species Homo sapiens. The sequence continues at coordinate 122,029,395 of NC_000001.11, forward strand.
GCTTTTCATGGAGCAGTTTTGAAACATTCTTTTCGTAGAGCCTCCAAGTGGACATTTGGAGCCCTTTCAGGCCTGTGGTGGATAAGGAAATATCTTCACATAAAAACTAGAGAGAAGCATTGTCAGAAACTTCTTGGTGATGATTGCATTCAACTCACGGAGCTGAGGATTCCTTTTGATGCAGCAGTTTGGAAACACTCTTTCGGTGGAATCTGCAAGCGGATACGTGGACCTCTTTGAACATTCCGATGGAAAAGGGATAATCTTCCCATAAAAGCTAAACGGAAGCATGCTCAGGAACTTCTTTGTGATGTTTGCATTCAACTCGCAGAGTTGTACTTTCCTTTTGATAGAGCAGCTTTGAAACCCTCTCTTTCTAGCATCTGCAAGGGGACATTTGGAGGGCTTCGAGGCCTGGGGTGGAAAAGGAAATATCTTCTCATCAAAGATACATGGAAGCATTCTCAGAAGCTGCTTTGTGATGATTGCTTTCAAGTCACCGAGCTGAACATTCCCTTTGATGGAGCCTTTTGGAAACACACTTTTGGTAGAATCTGAAAGGGGAGATTTGGACCGCTTTGAGGCCTATGGCAGTAGAGGATATAACTGCACATAAAAATGAGACAGTAGCATTCCCAGGAAACACTTTGTGACGATTGAGTTCAACTCACGGAGCTGAACATTCCTTTGGATGGAGCAGTTTCCAAACACACTTTGTGTAGAATCTGCAAGTGGAGATTCGGACCGCTCTGAGGATTTCGTTGGATACGGGAGAGAACTCACCTACGTAAACAGAAGCATTCTCAGAACCTTCTTCGTGATGCTTGCATTCAACTCACAGTGTTGAACCTTCCTCTGACGGTTCAGGTTTGAAACACTCCTTCTGCAGAATCTGCAAGTGGAGATTTGGACCTCTTTGAGGCCTGTCGTAGTAAAGGAAAGAACTTCATCTAAAAACAAGACAGAAGCATTCTCAGAAAATTCTTTGCGATGATTGAGTTTAACTCACAGAGCTGAGCATATCTTTTGATGGCGCATTTTCAAAACACACCTTTTGTAGAATATGCAAGTGGATTTTGGGACTTCTCAGAGAATTTCGTTGGAAACGGGATAAACCTCACATAACTGAAGAGGAACATTCTCAGAACTTCTTTGTGATGTTGACATTCAACTGACAGAGGTGAACCTTCCCTTGTGAGTTCAGGTTGAAACACTCTTTTCGTAGCATCTGCAAGTGGAGATTTGGAACGCTTTGAGGCCTACGGTAGTAAAGGAAACAGCTTCATGTAAAAACTGGACAGAAGCATTCTCAGAAAATACTTTGGGATGATTGAGTTCAACTCACAGAGCTGAACATTCCTTTGGGTGGAGCAGTTTTGAAACACACTTTTTGTAGACTCTGCAGGTGGATATTTGGACCTCTCTGAGGATTTCGTTGGAAATGGGATAACGTCGCCTAACTAAACAGAGGCTTTCGCGGAAACATCTTTCTGACGTTGGCATTCAAAGTCCACAGTTGAGCCTTCCTTTGGTAGTTCACGTTTGAAACACTCTTTTTGGAGGACCTGCAAGTGGATATTGGAGCACTTTGTGGCCTTCGTTCGAAACGGCTATATCTTCACATAAAATCTAGACAGAAGCCTTCTCAGAAACTTCTCTGTGATGATTGCATGCAACTCACAGAGTTGAACATTCCTTTTGATAGAGCAGTTTTGAAACTCTCTTTTGCTAGCATCTGCAAATGGATAGGTGGAACTCTGTGAAGACTTCTTTGGAAACGGGAATATCCTCACGTAAAAAGTAAACAGAAGCATTCTCAGAAACTCCTTTGTGAGGCTTGTGTTCAACTCCCAGAGTATAACATTGCTTTTCATGGAGCAGTTTTGAAACATTCTTTTCGTAGAGCCTCCAAGTGGACATTTGGAGCGCTTTCAGGCCTGTGGTGGATAAGGAAATATCTTCACATAAAAACTAGAGAGAAGCATTCTCAGAAACTTCTTGGTGATGATTGCATTCAACTCACGGAGCTGAGGATTCCTTTTGATGCAGCAGTTTGGAAACACTCTTTCGGTGGAATCTGCAAGCGGATATGTAGACCTCTTTGAACATTCCGATGGAAAAGGGATAATCTTCCCGTAAAAGCTAAACGGAAGCATGCTCAGGAACTTCTTTGTGATGTTTGCATTCAACTCGCAGAGTTGTACTTTCCTTTTGATAGAGCAGCTTTGAAACCCTCTCTTTCTAGCATCTGCAAGGGGACATTTGGAGGGCTTCGAGGCCTGGGGTGGAAAAGGAAATATCTTCTCATGAAAGCTACATGGAAGCATTCTCAGAAGCTGCTTTGTGATGATTGCTTTCAAGTCACCGAGCTGAACATTCCCTTTGATGGAGCCGTTTGGAAACACACTTTCGGTAGAATCTGAAAGGGGAGATTTGGACCGCTTTGAGGCCTATGGCAGTAGAGGATATAACTGCACATAAAAACGAGACAGTAGCATTCCCAGGAAACACTTTGTGACGATAGAGTTCAACTCACGGAGCTGAACATTGCTTTGGATGGAGCAGTTTCCAAACACACTTTGTGTAGAATCTGCAAGTGGAGATTCGGACCGCACTGAGGATTTCGTTGGATATGGGAGAGAACTCACCTATGTAAACGGAAGCATTCTCAGAACCTTCTTCGTGATGCTTGCCTTCAACTCACAGTGTTGAACCTTTCTCTGACAGTTCAGGTTTGAAACACTCCTTCTGCAGAATCTGCAAGTGGAGATTTGGACCTCTTTGAGGCCTGTCGTAGTAAAGGAAAGAACTTCATCTAAAAACAAGACAGAAGCATTCTCAGAAAATTCTTTGCGATGATTGAGTTTAACTCACAGAGCTGAGCAGGTCTTTTGATGGAGCATTTTCAAAACACACGTTTTGTAGTATATGCAAGTGGATATTGGGACTTCTCCGAGAATTTCGTTGGAAACGGGATAAACCTCACATAACTGAAGAGGAACCTTCTCAGAACTTCTTTGTGATGTTGACATTCAACTGACAGAGGTGAACCTTCCCTTGTGAGTTCAGGTTGAAACGCTCTTTTCGTAGCATCTGCAAGTGGAGATTTGGAACGCTTTGAGGCCTACGGTAGTAAAGGAAACAGCTTCATGTAAAAACTGGACAGAAGCATTCTCAGAAACTACTTTGGGATGATTGAGTTCAACTCACAGAGCTGAACATTCCTTTGGGTGGAGCAGTTTTGAAACACACTTTTTGTAGACTCTGCAGGTGGATATTTGGACCTCTCTGAGGATTTCGTTGGAAACGGGATAACGTCGCCTAACTAAACAGAAGCTTTCGCAGCAAACATCCTTCTGACGTTGGTGTTCAAAGTCCAGTAGTTGAGCCTTCCTTTGGTAGTTCACGTTTGAAACACTCTTTTTGGAGGACCTGCAAGTGGATATTTGGAGCACTTTGTGGCCTTCGTTCGAAACGGCTATATCTTCACGTAAAATCTAGACAGAAGTCTTCTCAGAAACTTCTCTGTGATGATTGCATGCAACTCACAGAGTTGAACATTCCTTTTGATGGAGCAGTTTTGAAACTCTCTTTTGCTAGCATCTGCAAATGGATAGGTGGAACTCTGTGAAGACTTCTTTGGAAACGGGAATATCCTCACGTAAAAAGTAAACAGAAGCATTCTCAGAAACTCCTTTGTGAGGCTTGTGTTCAACTCCCAGAGTATAACATTGCTTTTCATGGAGCAGTTTTGAAACATTCTTTTCGTAGAGCCTCCAAGTGGACATTTGGAGCCCTTTCAGGCCTGTGGTGGATAAGGAAATATCTTCACATAAAAACTAGAGAGAAGCATTGTCAGAAACTTCTTGGTGATGATTGCATTCAACTCACGGAGCTGAGGATTCCTTTTGATGCAGCAGTTTGGAAACACTCTTTCGGTGGAATCTGCAAGCGGATACGTGGACCTCTTTGAACATTCCGATGGAAAAGGGATAATCTTCCCATAAAAGCTAAACGGAAGCATGCTCAGGAACTTCTTTGTGATGTTTGCATTCAACTCGCAGAGTTGTACTTTCCTTTTGATAGAGCAGCTTTGAAACCCTCTCTTTCTAGCATCTGCAAGGGGACATTTGGAGGGCTTCGAGGCCTGGGGTGGAAAAGGAAATGTCTTCTCATCAAAGATACATGGAAGCATTCTCAGAAGCTGCTTTCTGATGATTGTATTCAAGTCACCGAGTTGAACATCCCCTTTGATGGGGCCGTTTGGAAACACACTTTTGGTAGAATCTGAAAGGGGAGATTTGGACCGCTTTGAGGCCTATGGCAGTAGAGGATATAACTGCACATAAAAGCGAGACAGGGGCATTCCCAGGAAACACTTTGTGACGATGGAGATCAACTCACAGAGCTGAACATTCCTTTGGATGGAGCAGTTTCCAAACACACTTTGTGTAGAATCTGCAAGTGGAGATTCGGACCGCTCTGAGGATTTCGTTGGATACGGGAGAGAACTCACCTACGTAAACAGAAGCATTCTCAGAACCATCTTCGTGATGCTTGCATTCAACTCACAGTGTTGAACCTTTCTCTGATAGTTCAGGTTTGAAACACTCCTTCTGCAGAATCTGCAAGTGGAGATTTGGAACTCTTTGAGGCCTGTCGTAGTAAAGGAAAGAACTTCATCTAAAAACAAGACAGAGGCATTCTCAGAAAATTCTTTGCGATGATTGAGTTTAACTCACAGAGCTGAGCATATCTTTTGATGGCGCATTTTCAAAACACACCTTTTGTGGAATATGCAAGTGGATTTTGGGACTTCTCTGAGAATTTCGTTGGAAACGGGATAAACCTCACGTAACTGAAGAGGAACATTCTCAGAACTTCTTGGTGATGTTGGCATTCAACTGACAGAGTTGAACCTTCCCTTGTGAGTTCAGGTTGAAACGCTCTTTTCGTAGTATCTGTAAGTGGAGGTTTGGAACGCTTTGAGGCCTACGGTTGTAAAGGAAACAGCTTCATGTAAAAACTGGACAGAAGAATTCTCAGAAAATACTTTGGGATGATTGAGTTCAACTCACAGAGCTGAACATTCCTTTGGGTGGAGCAGTTTTGAAACACACTTTTTGTAGACTCTGCAGGTGGATATTTGGACCTCTCTGAGGATTTCGTTGGAAACGGGATAACGTCACCTAACTAAACAGAAGCTTTCGCAGAAACATCCTTCTGACGTTGGCATTCAAAGTCCAGAGTTGAGCCTTCCTTTGTTAGTTCACGTTTGAAACACTCTTTTTGGAGGACCTGCAAGTGGATATTGGGAGCGCTTTGTGGCCTTCGTTCGAAACGGCCATATCTTCACATAAAATCTAGACAGAAGCCTTCTCAGAAACTTCTCTGTGATGATTGCATGCAACTCACAGAGTTGAACATTCCTTTTGATGGAGCAGTTTTGAAACTCTCTTTTGCTAGCATCTGCAAATGTATAGGTGGAACTCTGTGAAGACTTCTTTGGAAACGGGAATATCCTCACGTAAAAAGTAAACAGAAGCATTCTCAGAAACTCCTTTGTGAGGCTTGTGTTCAACTCCCAGAGTATAACATTGCTTTTCATAGAGCAGTTTTGAAACATTCTTTTCGTAGTGCCTCCAAGTGGACATTTGGAGCGCTTTCAGGCCTGCGGTGGAAAAGGAAATATCTTCACATAAAAACTAGAGAGAAGCATTGTCAGAAACTTCTTGGTGATGATTGCATTCAACTCACGGAGCTGAGGATTCCTTTGGATGCAGCAGTTTGGAAACACTCTTTCGGTGGAATCTGCAAGCGGATATGTGGACCTCTTTGAACATTTCGATGGAAAAGGGATAATCTTCCCGTAAAAGCTAAACGGAAGCATGCTCAGGAACTTCCTTGTGATGTTTGCATTCAACTCACAGAGTTGTACTTTCCTTTTGATAGAGCAGCTTTGAAACCCCCTCTTTCTAGCATCTGCAAGGGGACATTTGGAGGGCTTCGAGGCCTGGGGTGGAAAAGGAAATATCTTCTCATCAAAGCTACATGGAAGCATTCTCTGAAGCCGCTTTGTGATGATTGCATTGAAGTCACCGAGTTGAACATTCCCTTTGATGGAGCCGTTTGGAAACACACTTTTGGTAGAATCTGAAAGGGGAGATTTGGACCGCTTTGAGGCCTGTGGCAGTAGAGGATATAACTGCACATAAAAGCGAGACAGGAGCATTCCCAGGAAACGCTTTGTGACCATTGAGTTCAACTCACAGAGCTGGACATTCCTTTGGGTGGAGCAGTTTCCAAACACACTTTGTGTAGAATCTTCAAGTGGAGATTTGGACCGCTCTGAGGATTTCGTTGGATACGGGAGAAAAGTCACCTACGTAAACAGAAGCATTCTCAGAACCTTCTTCGTGATGCTTGCATTCAACTCACAGTGTTGAACCTTTCTCTGACAGTTCAGGTTTGAAACACTCCTTCTGCAGAATCTGCAAGTGGAGATTTGGACCTCCTTGAGGCCTATCGTAGTAAAGGAAAGAACTTCATCTAAAAACAAGACGGAAGCATTCTCAGAAAATTCTTTGCGATGATTGAGTTTAACTCACAGAGCTGAGCATATCTTTTGATGGCGCAATTTCCAAACACACCTTTTGTGGAATATGCCAGTGGATTTTGGGACTTCTCTGAGAATTTCGTTGGAAACGGGATAAACCTCACATAACTGAAGAGGAAACATTCTCAGAACTTCTTTGTGATGTTGGCATTCAACTGACAGAGTTGAACCTTCCCTTGTGAGTTCAGGTTTAATCGCTCTTTTCGTAGTATCTGCAAGTGGAGATTTGGAACCCTTTGAGGCCTACGGTAGTAAAGGAAACAGCTTCATGTAAAAACTGGACAGAAGCATTGTCAGAAAATACTTTGGGATGATTCAGTTCAACTCACAGAGCTGAACATTCCTTTGGGTGGAGCAGTTTTGAAACACACTTTTTGTAGACTCTGCAGGTGGATATTTGGACCTCTCTGAGGATTTCGTTGGAGACGGGATAACGTCACCTAACTAAACAGAAGCTTTCGCAGAAACATCCTTCTGACGTTGGCATTCAAAGTCCAGAGTTGAGCCTTCCTTTGGTAGTTCACGTTTGAAACACTCTTTTTGGAGGACCTGCAAGTGGATATTGGGAGCACTTTGTGGCCTTCGTTCGAAACGGCCATATCTTCACCTAAGATCTAGACAGAAGCATTCTCAGAAACTTCTCTGTGATGATTGCATGCAACTCACAGAGTTAAACATTCCTTTTGATGGAGCAGTTTTGAAACTCTCTTTTGCTAGCATCTGCATATGGATAGGTGGAACTCTGTGAAGACTTCTTTGGAAACGGGAATATCCTCACGTAAAAAGTAAACAGAAGCATTCTCAGAAACTCCTTTGTGAGGCTTGTGTTCAACTCCCCGAGTATAACATTGCTTTTCATAGAGCAGTTTTGAAACATTCTTTTCATAGAGCCTCCAAGTGGACATTTGGAGCGCTTTCAGGCCTGCGGTGGAAAAGGAAATATCTTCACATAGAAACTAGAGAGAAGCATTGTCAGAAACTTCTTGGTGATGATTGCATTCAACTCACGGAGCTGAGGATTCCTTTTGATGCAGCAGTTTGGAAACACTCTTTCGGTGGAATCTGCAAGCGGATATGTGGACCTCTTTGAACATTTCGATGGAAAAGGGATAATCTTCCCGTAAAAGCTAAACGGAAGCATGCTCAGGAACTTCCTTGTGATGTTTGCATTCAACTCAGAGAGTTGTACTTTCCTTTTGATAGAGCAGCTTTGAAACCCCCTCTTTCTAGCATCTGCAAGGGGACATTTGGAGGGCTTCGAGGCCTGGGGTGGAAAAGGAAATATCTTCTCATCAAAGCTACATGGAAGCATTCTCAGAAGCTGCTTTGTGATGATTGCATTCAAGTCACCGAGTTGAACATCCCCTTTGATGGGGCCGTTTGGAAACACACTTTTGGTAGAATCTGAAAGGGGAGATTTGGACCGCTTTGAGGCCTATGGCAGTAGAGGATATAACTGCACATAAAAGCGAGACAGGAGCATTCCCAGGAAACGCTTTGTGACCATTGAGTTCAACTCACAGAGCTGGACATTCCTTTGGGTGGAGCAGTTTCCAAACACACTTTGTGTAGAATCTTCAAGTGGAGATTTGGACCGCTCTGAGGATTTCGTTGGATACGGGAGAAAAGTCACCTACGTAAACAGAAGCATTCTCAGAACCTTCTTCGTGATGCTTGCATTCAACTCACAGTGTTGAACCTTTCTCTGACAGTTCAGGTTTGAAACACACCTTCTGCAGAATCTGCAAGTGGAGATTTGGACCTCTTTGAGGCCTATCGTAGTAAAGGAAAGAACTTCATCTAAAAGCAAGACAGAAGCATTCTCAGAAAATTCTTTGCGATGATTGAGTTGAACTCACAGAGGTGAGCATATCTTTTGATGACGCATTTTCAAGACACACCTTTTGTAGAATATGCAAGTGGATTTTGGGACTTCTCTGAGAATTTCGTTGGAAACGGGATAAACCTCACATAACTGAAGAGGAACATTCTCAGAAGTTCTTGGTGACGTTGGCATTCAACTGACAGAGTTGAACCTTCCCTTGTGAGTTCAGGTTGAAACGCTCTTTTCGTACTATCTGCAAGTGGAGGTTTGGAACGCTTTGAAGCCTACGGTAGTAAAGGAAACAGCTTCATGTAAAAACTGGACAGAAGCCTTCTCAGAAAATACTTTGGGATGATTGAGTTCAACTCACAGAGCTGAACCTTCCTTTGGGTTGAGCAGTTTTGAAACACACTTTTTGTAGACTCTGCAGGTGGATATTTGGACCTCTCTGAGGATTTCGTTGGAAACGGGATAACGTCACCTAACTAAACAGAAGCTTCCGCAGAAATATCCTTCTGACGTTGGCCTTCAAAGTCCCGAGTTGAGCCTTCCTTTGGTAGTTCACGTTTGAAACACTCTTTTTGGAGGACCTGCAAGTGGATATTTGGAGCACTTTGTGGCCTTCGTTCGAAACGGCTATATCTTCACATAAAATGTAGACAGAAGCATTCTCAGAAACTTCTCTGTGATGATTGCATGCATCTCACAGAGTTGAACATTCCTTTTGATAGTGCAGTTTTGAAACTCTCTAGTTTTGCTGGCATCTGCAAATGGATAGGTGGAACTCTGTGAAAACTTCTTTGGAAACGGGAATATCCTCACGTAAAAAGTAAACAGAAGCATTCTCAGAAACTCCTTTGTGAGGCTTGTGTTCAACTCCCAGAGTATAACATTGCTTTTCATAGAGCAGTTTTGAAACATTCTTTTCGTAGAGCCTCCAAGTGGACATTTGGAGCGCTTTCAGGCCTGCGGTGGAAAAGGAAATATCTTCACATAAAAACTAGAGAGAAGCATTGTCAGAAACTTCTTGGTGATGATTGCATTCAACTCACGGAGCTGAGGATTCCTTTTGATGCAGCAGTTTGGAAACACTCTTTCGGTGGAATCTGCAAGCGGATATGTGGACCTCTTTGAACATTTCGATGGAAAAGGGATAATCTTCCCGTAAAAGCTAAACGGAAGCATGCTCAGGAATTTCCTTGTGATGTTTGCATTCAACTCACAGAGTTGTACTTTCCTTTTGATAGAGCAGCTTTGAAACCCCCTCTTTCTAGCATCTGCAAGGGGACATTTGGAGGGCTTCGAGGCCTGGGGTGGAAAAGGAAATATCTTCTCATCAAAGCTACATGGAAGCATTCTCAGAAGCTGCTTTGTGATGATTGCATTCAAGTCACCGAGTTGAACATCCCCTTTGATGGGGCCGTTTGGAAACACACTTTTGGTAGAATCTGAAAGGGGAGATTTGGACCGCTTTGAGGCCTATGGCAGTAGAGGATATAACTGCACATGAAAGCGAGACAGGAGCATTCCCAGGAAACGCTTTGTGACCATTCAGTTCAACTCACAGAGCTGAACATTCCCTTGGGTGGAGTAGTTTCCAAACACACTTTGTGTAGAATCTGCAAGTGGAGATTTGGACCGCTCTGAGGGTTTCGTTGGATACGGGAGAAAAGTCACCTACGTAAACAGAAGCATTCTCAGAACCTTCTTCGTGATGCTTGCATTCAACTCACAGTGTTGAAACTTTCTCTGACAGTTCAGGTTTGAAACACTCCTTCTGCAGAATCTGCAAGTGGAGATTTGGACCTCCTTGAGGCCTATCGTAGTAAAGGAAAGAACTTCATCTAAAAACAAGACGGAAGCATTCTCAGAAAATACTTTGCGATGATTGAGTTTAACTCACAGAGCTGAGCATATCTTTTGATGGCGCATTTTCAAAACACACCTTTTGTGGAATATGCAAGTGGATTTTGGGACTTCTCTGAGAATTTCGTTGGAAACGGGATAAACCTCACGTAACTGAAGAGGAACATTCTCAGAAGTTCTTGGTGATGTTGGCATTCAACTGACAGGGTTGAAACTTCCCTTGTGAGTTCAGGTTGAAACGCTCTTTTCGTAGTATCTGCAAGTGGAGGTTTGGAACGCTTTGAGGCCTACGGTAGTAAAGGAAACAGCTTCATGTAAAAACTGGACAGAAGCATTCTCAGAAAATACTTTGGGATGATTGAGTTCAACTCACAGAGCTGAACATTCCTTTGGGTGGAGCAGTTTTGAAACACACTTTTTGTAGACTCTGCAGGTGGATATTTGGACCTCTCTGAGGATTTCGTTGGAAACGGGATAACGTCACCTAACAAAACAGAAGCTTTCGCAGAAACATCCTTCTGACGTTGGCATTCAAAGTCCAGAGTTGAGCCTTCCTTTGGTAGTTTACGTTTGAAACACTCTTTTTGGAGGACCTGCAAGTGGATATTGGGAGCACTTTGTGGCCTTCGTTCGAAACGGCCATATCTTCACAAAAAATCTAGACAGAAGCCTTCTCAGAAACTTCTCTGTGATGATTGCATGCAACTCACAGAGTTGAAGATTCCTTTTGATGGAGCAGTTTTGAAACTCTCTTTTGCTAGCATCTGCAAATGGATAGGTGGAACTCTGTGAAGACTTCTTTGGAAACGGGAATATCCTCACGTAAAAAGTAAACAGAAGCATTCTCAGAAACTACTTTGTGAGGCTTGTGTTCAACTCCCAGAGTATAACATTGCTTTTCATAGAGCAGTTTTGAAACATTCTTTTCGTAGAGCCTCCAAGTGGACATTTGGAGCGCTTTCAGGCCTGCGGTGGAAAAGGAAATATCTTCACATAAAAACTAGAGAGAAGCATTGTCAGAAACTTCTTGGTGATGATTGCATTCAACTCACGGAGCTGAGGATTCCTTTGGATGCAGCAGTTTGGAAACACTCTTTCGGTGGAATCTGCAAGCGGATATGTGGACCTCTTTGAACATTTCGATGGAAAAGGGATAATCTTCCCGTAAAAGCTAAACGGAAGCATGCTCAGGAACTTCCTTGTGATGTTTGCATTCAACTCACAGAGTTGTACTTTCCTTCTGATAGAGCAGCTTTGAAACCCCCTCTTTCTAGCATCTGCAAGGGGACATTTGGAGGGCTTCGAGGCCTGGGGTGGAAAAGGAAATATCTTCTCATCAAAGCTACATGGAAGCATTCTCAGAAGCTGCTTTGTGATGATTGCATTCAAGTCACCGAGTTGAACATTCCCTTTGATGGAGCCGTTTGGAAACACACTTTTGGTAGAATCTGAAAGGGGAGATTTGTACCGTTTTGAGGCCTATGGCAGTAGAGGATATAACTGCACATAAAAACGAGACAGGAGCATTCCCAGGAAACACATTGTGATGCTTGAGTTCAACTCACAGAGCTGAACATTCCTTTGGATGGAGCAGTTTCCAAACACACTTTGTGTAGAATCTGCAAGTGGAGATTTGGACCGCTCTGAGGACTTCGTTGGATACGGGAGAGAAGTCACCTACACAAACAGAAGCATTCTCAGAACCTTCTTCGTGATGCTTGCATTCAACTCACAGTGTTGAACCTTTCTCTGACAGTTCAGGTTTGAAACACTCCTTCTGCAGAATCTGCAAGTGGAGATTTGGACCTCCTTGAGGCCTATCGTAGTAAAGGAAAGAACTTCATCTAAAAACAAGACGGAAGCATTCTTAGAAAATTGTTTGCGATGATTGAGTTTAACTCACAGAGCGGAGCATATCTTTTGATGGCGCATTTTCCAAACACACCTTTTGTGGAATATGCCAGTGGATTTTGGGACTTCTCTGAGAATTTCGTTGGAAACGGGATAAACCTCACATAACTGAAGAGGAACATTCTCAGAAGTTCTTGGTGATGTTGACATTCAACTGACAGAGTTGAACCCTCCCTTGTGAGTTCAGGTTGAAACGCTCTTTTCGTAGTATCTGCAAGTGGAGGTTTGGAACGCTTTGAGGCCTACGGTAGTAAAGGAAACAGCTTCATGTAAAAACTGGACAGAAGCATTCTCAGAAAATACTTTGGGATGATTGAGTTCAACTCACAGAGCTGAACATTCCTTTGGGTGGAGCAGTTTTGAAACACACTTTTTGTAGACTCTGCAGGTGGATATTTGGACCTCTCCGAGGATTTCGTTGGAAACGGGATAACGTCACCTAACTAAACAGAAGCTTTCGGAGAAACATCCTTCTGACGTTGGCCTTCAAAGTCCAGAGTTGAGCCTTCCTTTGGTAGTTCACGTTTGAAACACTCTTTTTGGAGGACCTGCAAGTGGATATTTGGAGCACTTTGTGGCCTTCGTTCGAAACGGCTATATCTTCACGTAAAATCTAGACAGAAGCCTTCTCAGAAACTTCTCTGTGATGATTGCATGCAACTCACAGAGTTGAACATTCCTTTTGATAGAGCAGTTTTGAAACTCTCTTTTGCTAGCATCTGCAAATGGGTAGGTGGAACTCTGTGAAGACTTCTTTGGAAACGGGAATATCCTCACGTAAAAAGTAAACAGAAGCATTCTCAGAAACTCCTTTGTGAGGCTTGTGTTCAACTCCCAGAGTATAACATTGCTTTTCATAGAGCAGTTTTGAAACATTCTTTTCGTAGAGCCTCCAAGTGGACATTTGGAGCGCTTTCAGGCCTGCGGTGGAAAAGGAAATATCTTCACATAAAAACTAGAGAGAAGCATTGTCAGAAACTTCTTGGTGATGATTGCATTCAACTCACGGAGCTGAGGATTCCTTTGGATGCAGCAGTTTGGAAACACTCTTTCGGTGGAATCTGCAAGCGGATATGTGGACCTCTTTGAACATTTCGATGGAAAAGGGATAATCTTCCCGTAAAAGCTAAACGGAAGCATGCTCAGGAACTTCCTTGTGATGTTTGCATTCAACTCACAGAGTTGTACTTTCCTTCTGATAGAGCAGCTTTGAAACCCCCTCTTTCTAGCATCTGCAAGGGGACATTTGGAGGGCTTCGAGGCCGGGGGTGGAAAAGGAAATATCTTCTCATCAAAGCTACATGGAAGCATTCTCAGAAGCTGCTTTGTGATGATTGCATTCAAGTCACCGAGTTGAACATCCCCTTTGATGGGGCCGTTTGGAAACACACTTTTGGTAGAATCTGAAAGGGGAGATTTGGACCGCTTTGAGGTCTATGGCAGTAGAGGATATAACTGCACATAAAAGCGAGACAGGAGCATTCCCAGGAAACGCTTTGTGACGATTGAGTTCAACTCACAGAGCTGAACATTCCTTTGGTGGAGCAGTTTCCAAACACACTTTGTGTAGAATCTGCAAGTGGAGATTTGGACCGCTCTGAGGATTTCGTTGGATACGGGAGAAAAGTCACCTACGTAAACAGAAGCATTCTCAGAACCTTCTTCGTGATGCTTGCATTCAACTCACAGTATTGAACCTTTCTCTGACAGTTCAGGTTTGAAACACTCCTTCTGCAGAATCTGCAAGTGGAGATTTGGAACTCTTTGAGGCCTATCGTAGTAAAGGAAAGAACTTCATCTAAAAACAAGACGGAAGCATTCTCAGAAAATTCTTTGCGATGATTGAGTTTAACTCACAGAGCTGAGCATATCTTTTGATGGCGCATTTTCCAAACACACCTTTTGTGGAATATGCAAGTGGATTTTGGGACTTCTCTGAGAATTTCGTTGGAAACGGGATAAACCTCACGTAACTGAAGAGGAACATTCTCAGAAGTTCTTGGTGATGTTGGCATTCAACTGACAGAGTTGAATCTTCCCTTGTGAGTTCAGGTTGAAACGCTCTTTTCGTAGTATCTGCAAGTGGAGGTTTGGAACGCTTTGAGGCCTACGGTAGTAAAGGAAACAGCTTCATGTAAAAACTGGACAGAAGCATTCTCAGAAAATACTTTGGGATGATTGAGTTCAACTCACAGAGCTGAACATTCCTTTGGGTGGAGCAGTTTTGAAACACACTTTTTGTAGACTCTGCAGGTGGATATTTGGACCTCTCTGAGGATTTCGTTGGAAACGGGATAACGTCACCTAACTAAATAGAAGCTTTCGCAGAAACATCCTTCTGACGTTGGCATTCAAAGTCCAGAGTTGAGCCTTCCTTTGGTAGTTCACGTTTGAAACACTCTTTTTGGAGGACCTGCAAGTGGATATTTGGAGCACTTTGTGGCCTTCGTTCGAAACGGCTATATCTTCACATAAAATCTAGACAGAAGCCATCTCAGAAACTTCTCTGTGATGATTGCATGCAACTCACAGAGTTGAACATTCCTTTTGATGGAGCAGTTTTGAAACTCTCTTTTGCTAGCATCTGCAAATGGATAGGTGGAACTCTGTGAAGACTTCTTTGGAAACGGGAATATCCTCACGTAAAAAGTAAACAGAAGCATTCTCAGAAACTCCTTTGTGAGGCTTGTGTTCAACTCCCAGAGTATAACATTGCTTTTCATAGAGCAGTTTTGAAACATTCTTTTCGTAGAGCCTCCAAGTGGACATTTGGAGCGCTTTCAGGCCTGCGGTGGAAAAGGAAATATCTTCACATAAAAACTAGAGAGAAGCATTGTCAGAAACTTCTTGGTGATGATTGCATTCAACTCACGGAGCTGAGGATTCCTTTGGATGCAGCAGTTTGGAAACACTCTTTCGGTGGAATCTGCAAGCGGATATGTGGACCTCTTTGAACATTTCGATGGAAAAGGGATAATCTTCCCGTAAAAGCTAAACGGAAGCATGCTCAGGAACTTCCTTGTGATGTTGGCATTCAACTCACAGAGTTGTACTTTCCTTCTGATAGAGCAGCTTTGAAACCCCCTCTTTCTAGCATCTGCAAGGGGACATTTGGAGGGCTTCGAGGCCTGGGGTGGAAAAGGAAATATCTTCTCATCAAAGCTACATGGAAGCATTCTCAGAAGCTGCTTTGTGATGATTGCATTCAAGTCACCGAGTTGAACATCCCCTTTGATGGGGCCGTTTGGAAACACACTTTTGGTAGAATCTGAAAGGGGAGATTTGGACCGCTTTGAGACCTATGGCAGTAGAGGATATAACTGCACATAAAAGCGAGACAGGAGCATTCCCAGGAAACGCTTTGTGACCATTGAGTTCAACTCACAGAGCTGAACATTCCTTTGGGTGGAGCAGTTTCCAAACACACTTTGTGTAGAATCTTCAAGTGGAGATTTGGACCGCTCTGAGGATTTCGTTGGATACGGGAGAAAAGTCACCTATGTAAACAGAAGCATTCTCAGAACCTTCTTCGTGATGCTTGCATTCAACTCACAGTGTTGAACCTTTCTCTGACAGTTCAGGTTTGAAACACTCCTTCTGCAGAATCTGCAAGTGGAGATTTGGACCTCCTTGAGGACTATCGTAGTGAAGGAAAGAACTTCATCTAAAAACAAGACGGAAGCATTCTCAGAAAATTCTTTGCGATGATTGAGTTTAACTCACAGAGCTGAGCATATCTTTTGATGGCGCAATTTCCAAACACACCTTTTGTGGAATATGCCAGTGGATTTTGGGACTTCTCTGAGAATTTCGTTGGAAACGGGATAAACCTCACATAACTGAAGAGGAACATTCTCAGAACTTCTTGGTGATGTTGGCATTCAACTGACAGAGTTGAACCTTCCCTTGTGAGTTCAGGTTGAAACGCTCTTTTCGTAGTATCTGTAAGTGGAGGTTTGGAACGCTTTGAGGCCTACGGTTGTAAAGGAAACAGCTTCATGTAAAAACTGGACAGAAGCATTCTCAGAAACTACTTTGGGATGATTGAGTTCAACTCACAGAGCTGAACATTCCTTTGGGTGGAGCAGTTTTGAAACACACTTTTTGTAGACTCTGCAGGTGGATATTTGGACCTCTCTGTGGATTTCGTTGGAAACGGGATAACGTCGCCTAACTAAACAGAAGCTTTCGCAGAAACATCCTTCTGACGTTGGCATTCAAAGTCCAGAGTTGAGCCTTCCTTTGGTAGTTCACGTTTGAAACACTCTTTCTGGAGGACCTGCAAGTGGATATTTGGAGCACTTTGTGGCCTTCGTTCGAAACGGCTATATCTTCACATAAAATCTAGACAGAAAGCCTTCTCAGAAACTTCTCTGTGATGATTGCATGCAACTCACAGAGTTGAAAATTCCTTTTGATGGAGCAGTTTTGAAACTCTCTTTTGCTAGCATCTGCAAATGTATAAGTGGAACTCTGTGAAGACTTCTTTGGAAACGGGAATATCCTCACGTAAAAAGTAAACAGAAGCATTCTCAGAAACTCCTTTGTGAGGCTTGTGTTCAACTCCCAGAGTATAACATTGCTTTTCATAGAGCAGTTTTGAAACATTCTTTTCGTAGAGCCTCCAAGTGGACATTTGGAGCGCTTTCAGGCCTGCGGTGGAAAAGGAAATATCTTCACATAAAAACTAGAGAGAAGCATTGTCAGAAACTTCTTGGTGATGATTGCATTCAACTCACGGAGCTGAGGATTCCTTTGGATGCAGCAGTTTGGAAACACTCTTTCGGTGGAATCTGCAAGCGGATATGTGGACCTCTTTGAACATTTCGATGGAAAAGGGATAATCTTCCCGTAAAAGCTAAACGGAAGCATGCTCAGGAACTTCCTTGTGATGTTTGCATTCAACTCACAGAGTTGTACTTTCCTTTTGATAGAGCAGCTTTGAAACCCCCTCTTTCTAGCATCTGCAAGGGGACGTTTGGAGGGCTTCGAGGCCTGGGGTGGAAAAGGAAATATCTTCTCATCAAAGCTACATGGAAGCATTCTCAGAAGCTGCTTTGTGATGATTGCATTCAAGTCACCGAGTTGAACATCCCCTTTGATGGGGCCGTTTGGAAACACACCTTTGGTAGAATCTGAAAGGGGAGATTTGGACCGCTTTGAGGCCTATGGCAGTAGAGGATATAACTGCACATAAAAGCGAGACAGGAGCATTCCCAGGAAACACTTTGTGACGATTGAGTTCAATTCACAGAGCTGAACATTCCTTTGGATGGAGCAGTTTCAAAACACACTTTTTGTAGAATCTGCAAGTGGAGATTTGGACCGCTCTGAGGATTTCATTGGATACGGGAGAAAACTCACCTATGTAAACAGAAGCATTCTCAGAACCTTCTTCGTGATGCTTGCATTCAACTCACAGTGTTGAACCTTTCTCTGATAGTTCAGGTTTGAAACACTCCTTCTGCAGAATCTGCAAGTGGAGATTTGGACCTCTTTGAGGCCTATCGTAGTAAAGGAAAGAACTTCATCTAAAAACAAGACAGAAGCATTCTCAGAACCTTCTTCCTGATGCTTGCATTCAACTCACAGTGTTGAACCTTTCTCTGATAGTTCAGGTTTTAAACACTCCTTCTGCAGAATCTGCAAGTCGAGATTTGGACCTCTTTGAGGCCTATCGTAGTAAATGAAAGAACTTCATCTAAAAACAAGACAGAAGCATTCTCAGAACCTTCTTCGTGATGCTTGCATTCAACTCACAGTGTTGAACCTTTCTCTGATAGTTCAGGTTTTAAACACTCCTTCTGCAGAATCTGCAAGTGGAGATTTGGACCTCTTTGAGGCCTATCGTAGTAAAGGAAAGAACTTCATCTAAAAACAAGACAGAAGCATTCTTAGAAAATTGTTTGCGATGATTGAGTTTAACTCACAGAGCGGAGCATATCTTTTGATGGCGCATTTTCCAAACACACCTTTTGTGGAATATGCCAGTGGATTTTGGGACTTCTCTGAGAATTTCGTTGGAAACGGGATAAACCTCACATAACTGAAGAGGAACATTCTCAGAACTTCTTTGTGATGTTGGCATTCAACTGACAGAGTTGAACCTTTCCTTGTGAGTTCAAGTTGAAACGCTCTTTTCGTAGTATCTGCAAGTGGAGGTTTGGAACGCTTTGAGGCCTACGGTAGTAAAGGAAACAGCTTCATGTAAAAACTGGACAGAAGCATTCTCAGAAACTACTTTGGGATGATTGAGTTCAACTCACAGAGCTGAACATTCCTTTGGGTGGAGCAGTTCTGAAACACACTTTTTGTAGACTCTGCAGGTGGATATTTGGACGTCTCTGAGGATTTCGTTGGAAACGGGATAACGTCGCCTAACTAAACAGAAGATTTCGCAGAAACATCCTTCTGACGTTGGCATTCAAAGTCCAGAGTTGAGCCTTCCTTTGGTAGTTCACGTTTGAAACACTCTTTTTGGAGGACCTGCAAGTGGATATTTGGAGCACTTTGTGGCCTTCGTTCGAAACGGCTATATCATCACATAAAATCTAGACAGAGGCCTTCTCAGAAACTTCTCTGTGATGATTGCATGCAACTCACAGAGTTGAACATTCCTTTTGATAGAGCAGTTTTGAAACTCTCTTTTGCTAGCATCTGCAAATGGATAGGTGGAACTCTGTGAAGACTTCTTTGGAAACGGGAATATCCTCACGTATAAAGTAAACAGAAGCATTCTCAGAAACTCCTTTGTGAGGCTTGTGTTCAACTCCCAGAGTATAACATTGCTTTTCATGGAGCAGTTTTGAAACATTCTTTTCGTAGAGCCTCCAAGTGGACATTTGGAGCCCTTTCAGGCCTGTGGTGGATAAGGAAATATCTTCACATAAAAACTAGAGAGAAGCATTGTCAGAAACTTCTTGGTGATGATTGCATTCAACTCACGGAGCTGAGGATTCCTTTTGATGCAGCAGTTTGGAAACACTCTTTCGGTGGAATCTGCAAGCGGATACGTGGACCTCTTTGAACATTCCGATGGAAAAGGGATAATCTTCCCATAAAAGCTAAACGGAAGCATGCTCAGGAACTTCTTTGTGATGTTTGCATTCAACTCGCAGAGTTTTACTTTCCTTTTGATAGAGCAGCGTTGAAACCCTCTCTTTCTAGCATCTGCAAGGGGACATTTGGAGGGCTTCGAGGCCTGGGGTGGAAAAGGAAATGTCTTCTCATTAAAGATACATGGAAGCATTCTAAGAAGCTGCTTTGTGATGATAGCTTTCAAGTCACCGAGCTGAACATTCCCTTTGATGGAGCCTTTTGGAAACACACTTTTGGTAGAATCTGAAAGGGGAGATTTGGACCGCTTTGAGGCCTGTGGCAGTAGAGGATAAAACTGCACATAAAAACGAGACAGTAGCATTCCCAGGAAACACTTTGTGACGATTGAGTTCAACTCACGAAGCTGAACATTCCTTTGGATGGAGCAGTTTCCAAACACACTTTGTGTAGAATCTGCAAGTGGAGATTCGGACCGCTCTGAGGATTTCGTTGGATACGGGAGAGAACTCACCTACGTAAACAGAAGCATTCTCAGAACCTAATTGGTGATGCTTGCATTCAACTCACAGTGTTGAACCTTCCTCTGACGGTTCAGGTTTGAAACACTCCTTCTGCAGAATCTGCAAGTGGAGATTTGGACCTCTTTGGGGCCTGTCGTAGTAAAGGAAAGAACTTCATCTGAAAACAAGACAGAAGCATTCTCAGAAAATTCTTTGCGATGATTGAGTTTAACTCACAGAGCTGACATATCTTTTGATGGCGCATTTTCAAAACACACCTTTTGTAGAATAGGCAAGTGGATTTTGGGACTTCTCTGAGAATTTCGTTGGAAACGGGATAAACCTCACATAACTGAAGAGGAACATTCTCAGAACTTCTTTGTGATGTTGACATTCAACTGACAGAGGTGAACCTTCCCTTGTGAGTTCAGGTTGAAACACTCTTTTCGTAGCATCTGCAAGTGGAGATTTGGAACGCTTTGAGGCCTACGGTAGTAAAGGAAACAGCTTCATGTAAAAACTGGACAGAAGCATTCTCAGAAAATACTTTGGGATGATTGAGTTCAACTCACAGAGCTGAACATTCCTTTGGGTGGAGCAGTTTTGAAACACACTTTTTGTAGACTCGGCTGGTGGATATTTGGACCTCTCTGAGGATTTCGTTGGAAACGGGATAACGTCGCCTAACTAAACAGAAGCTTTCGCAGGAACATCTCTCTGACGTTGGCATTCAAAGTCCACAGTTGAGCCTTCCTTTGGTAGTTCACGTTTGAAACACTCTTTTTGGAGGACCTGCAAGTGGATATTTGGAGCACTTTGTGGCCTTCGTTCGAAACGGCTATATCTTCACATAAAATCTAGACAGAAGCCTTCTCAGAAACTTCTCTGTGATGATTGCATGCAACTCACAGAGTGGAACATTCCTTTTGATAGAGCAGTTTTGAAACTCTCTTTTGCTAGCATCTGCAAATGGATAGGTGGAACTCTGTGAAGACTTCTTTGGAAACGGGAATATCCTCACGTAAAAAGTAAACAGAAGCATTCTCAGAAACTCCTTTGTGAGGCTTGTGTTCAACTCCCAGAGTATAACATTGCTTTTCATAGAGCAGTTTTGAAACATTCTTTTAGTAGAGCCTCCAAGTGGACATTTGGAGCGCTTTCAGGCCTGCGGTGGAAAAGGAAATATCTTCACATAAAAGCTAGAGAGAAGCATTGTCAGAAACTTCTTGGTGATGATTGCATTCAACTCACGGAGCTGAGGATTCCTTTTGATGCAGCAGTTTGGAAACACTCTTTCGGTGGAATCTGCAAGCGGATATGTGGACCTCTTTGAACATTTCTATGGAAAAGGGATAATCTTCCCGTAAAAGCTAAACGGAAGCATGCTCAGGAACTTCCTTGTGATGTTTGCATTCAACTCACAGAGTTGTACTTTCCTTTTGATAGAGCAGCTTTGAAACCCCCTCTTTCTAGCATCTGCAAGGGGACATTTGGAGGGCTTCGAGGCCTGGGGTGGAAAAGGAAATATCTTCTCATCAAAGCTACATGGAAGCATTCTCAGAAGCTGCTTTGGGATGATTGCATTCAAGTCACCGAGTTGAACATTCCCTTTGATGGAGCCGTTTGGAAACACACTTTTGGTAGGATCTGAAAGGGGAGATTTGGACCGCTTTGAGGCCTATGGCAGTAGAGGATATAACTGCACATAAAAGCGACACAGGAGCATTCCCAGGAAACACTTTGTGACGATTGAGTGCAACTCACAGAGCTGAACATTCCTTTGGATGGAGCAGTTTCCAAACACACTTTGTGTAGAATCCGCAAGTGGAGATTTGGACCGCTCTGAGGATTTCGTTGGATACGGGAGAAAAGTCACCTACGTAAACAGAAGCATTCTCAGAACCTTCTTCGTGATGCTTGCATTCAACTCACAGTGTTGAACCTTTCTCTGACAGTTCAGGTTTGAAACACTCCTTCTGCAGAATCTGCAAGTGGAGATTTGGACCTCTTTGAGGCCTATCGTAGTAAAGGAAAGAACTTCATCTAAAAACAAGACAGAAGCATTCTCAGAAAATTCTTTGCGATGATTGAGTTTAACTCACAGAGCTTAGCATATCTTTTGATGGCGCATTTTCAAGACACACCTTTTGTAGAATATGCAAGTGGATTTTGGGACTTCTCTGAGAATTTCGTTGGAAACGGGATAAACCTCACATAACTGAAGAGGAACATTCTCAGAACTTCTTTGTGATGTTGGCATTCAACTGACAGAGTTGAACCTTCCCTTGTGAGTTCAGGTTGAATCGCTCTTTTCGTAGTATCTGCAAGTGGAGATTTGGAACGCTTTGAGGCCTACGGTAGTAAAGGAAACAGCTTCATGTAAAAACTGGACAGAACCATTCTCAGAAAATACTTTGGGATGATTGAGTTCAACTCACAGAGCTGAACATTCCTTTGGGTGGAGCAGTTTTGAAACACACTTTTTGTAGACTCTGCAGGTGGATATTTGGACCTCTCTGAGGATTTCGTTGGAAACGGGATAACGTCACCTAACTAAACAGAAGCTTCCGCAAAAACATCCTTCTGACGTTGGCCTTCAAAGTCCCGAGTTGAGCCTTCCTTTGGTAGTTCACGTTTGAAACACTCTTTTTGGAGGACCTGCAAGTGGATATTTGGAGCACTTTGTGGCCTTCATTCGAAACGGCTATATCTTCACATAAAATCTAGACAGAAGCCTTCTCAGAAACTTCTCTGTGATGATTGCACGCAACTGACAGAGGTGAACATTCCTTTTGATAGAGCAGTTTTGAAACTCTCTAGTTTTGCTGGCATCTGCAAATGGATAGGTGGAACTCTGTGAAGACTTCTTTGGAAACGGGAATATCCCCACGTAAAAAGTAAACAGAAGCATTCTCAGAAACTCCTTTGTGAGGCTTGTGTTCAACTCCCAGAGTATAACTTGGCTCTTCATAGAGCAGTTTTGAAACATTCTTTTCGTAGAGCCTCCAAGTGGACATTTGGAGCGCTTTCAGGCCTGCGGTGGAAAAGGAAATATCTTCACATAAAAACTAGAGAGAAGCATTGTCACAAACTTCTTGGTGATGATTGCATTCAACTCACGGAGCTGAGGATTCCTTTTGATGCAGCAGTTTGGAAACACTCTTTCGGTGGAATCTGCAAGCGGATATGTGGACCTCTTTGAACATTTCGATGGAAAAGGGATAATCTTCCCGTAAAAGCTAAACGGAAGCATGCTCAGGAACTTCTTTGTGATGTTTGCATTCAACTCGCAGAGTTGTACTTTCCTTTTGATAGAGCAGCTTTGAAACCCTCTCTTTCTAGCATCTGCAAGGGGACATTTGGAGGGCTTCGAGGCCTGGGGTGGAAAAGGAAATGTCTTCTCATCAAAGATACATGGAAAGCATTCTCAGAAGCTGCTTTGTGATGATTGCTTTCAAGTCACCGAGCTGAACATTCCCTTTGATGGAGCCGTTTGGAAACACACTTTCGGTAGAATCTGAAAGGGGAGATTTGGACCGCTTTGAGGCCTATGGCAGTAGAGGATATAACTGCACATAAAAACGAGACAGTAGCATTCCCAGGAAACGCTCTGTGACGATTGAGTTCAACTCACAGAGCTGAACATTCCTTTGGGTGAAGCAGTTTCCAAACACACCTTGTGTAGAATCTGCAAGTGGAGATTTGGACCGCTCTGAGGATTTCGTTGGATACGGGAGAAAAGTCACCTACGTAAACAGAAGCATTCTCAGAACCTTCTTCGTGATGCTTGCCTTCAACTCACAGTGTTGAACCTTTCTCTGACAGTTCAGGTTTGAAACACTCCTTCTGCAGAATCTGCAAGTGGAGATTTGGACCTCTTTGAGGCCTGTCGTAGTAAAGGAAAGAACTTCATCTAAAAACAAGACAGAAGCATTCTCAGAAAATTCTTTGCGATGATTGAGTTTAACTCACAGAGCTGAGCAGGTCTTTTGATGGAGCATTTTCAAAACACACGTTTTGTAGTATATGCAAGTGGATATTGGGACTTCTCCGAGAATTTCGTTGGAAACGGGATAAACCTCACATAACTGAAGAGGAACCTTCTCAGAACTTCTTTGTGATGTTGACATTCAACTGACAGAGGTGAACCTTCCCTTGTGAGTTCAGGTTGAAACGCTCTTTTCGTAGCATCTGCAAGTGGAGATTTGGAACGCTTTGAGGCCTACGGTAGTAAAGGAAACAGCTTCATGTAAAAACTGGACAGAAGCATTCTCAGAAAATACTTTGGGATGATTGAGTTCAACTCACAGAGCTGAACATTCCTTTGGGTGGAGCAGTTTTGAAACACACTTTTTGTAGACTCTGCAGGTGGATATTTGGACCTCTCTGAGGATTTCGTTGGAAATGGGATAACGTCGCCTAACTAAACAGAAGCTTTCGCAGAAACATCCTTCTGACGTTGGCATTCAAAGTCCAGAGTTGAGCCTTCCTTTGGTAGTTTACGTTTGAAACACTCTTTTTGGAGGACCTGCAAGTGGATATTGGGAGCACTTTGTGGCCTTCGTTCGAAACGGCCATATCTTCACATAAAATCTAGACAGAAGCCTTCTCAGAAACTTCTCTGTGATGATTGCATGCAACTCACAGAGTTGAACATTCCTTTTGATGGAGCAGTTTTGAAACTCTCTTTTGCTAGCATCTGCAAATGGGTAGGTGGAACTCTTTGAAGACTTCTTTGGAAACGGGAATATCCTCACGTAAAAAGTAAACAGAAGCATTCTCAGAAACTCCTTTGTGAGGCTTGTGTTCAACTCCCAGAGTATAACATTGCTTTTCATAGAGCAGTTTTGAAACATTCTTTTCGTAGTGCCTCCAAGTGGACATTTGGGTCACTTTCAGGCCTGCGTTGGAAAAGGAAATATCTTCACATAAAAACTAGAGAGAAGCATTGTCAGAAACTTCTTGGTGATGATTGCATTCAACTCACGGAGCTGAGGATTCCTTTGGATGCAGCAGTTTGGAAACACTCTTTCGGTGGAATCTGCAAGCGGATATGTGGACCTCTTTGAACATTTCGATGGAAAAGGGATAATCTTCCCGTAAAAGCTAAACGGAAGCATGCTCAGGAACTTCCTTGTGATGTTTGCATTCAACTCACAGAGTTGTACTTTCCTTTTGATAGAGCAGCTTTGAAACTCCCTCTTTCTAGCATCTGCAAGGGGACATTTGGAGGGCTTCGAGGCCTGGGGTGGAAAAGGAAGTATCTTCTCATCAAACCTACATGGAAGCATTCTCAGAACCTGCTTTCTGATGATTGCATTCAAGTCACCGAGTTGAACATCCCCTTTGATGGGGCCGTTTGGAAACACACTTTTGGTAGAATCTGAAAGGGGAGATTTGGACCGCTTTGAGGCCTATGGCAGTAGAGGATATAACTGCACATGAAAGCGAGTCAGGAGCATTCCCAGGAAACGCTTTGTGACCATTGAGTTCAACTCACAGAGCTGAACATACCTCTGGGTGGAGCAGATTCCAAACACACTTTGTGTAGAATCTGCAAGTGGAGATTTGGACCGCTCTGAGGATTTCGTTGGATACGGGAGAAAAGTCCCCTACATAAACAGAAGCATTCTCAGAACCTTCTTCGTGATGCTTGCATTCAACTCACAGTGTTGAACCTTTCTCTGACAGTTCAGGTTTGAAACACTCCTTCTGCAGAATCTGCAAGTGGAGATTTGGACCTCCTTGAGGCCTATCGTAGTAAAGGAAAGAACTTCATCTAAAAACAAGACGGAAGCATTCTTAGAAAATTGTTTGCGATGATTGAGTTTAACTCACAGAGCGGAGCATATCTTTTGATGGCGCATTTTCCAAACACACCTTTTGTGGAATATGCCAGTGGATTTTGGGACTTCTCTGAGAATTTCGTTGGAAACGGGATAAACCTCACATAACTGAAGAGGAACATTCTCAGAACTTCTTTGTGATGTTGACATTCAACTGACAGAGTTGAACCTTCCCTTGTGAGTTCAGGTTGAAACGCTCTTTTCGTAGCATCTGCAAGTGGAGATTTGGAACGCTTTGACGCCTACGGTAGTAAAGGAAACAGCTTCATGTAAAAACTGGACAGAAGCATTCTCAGAAAATACTTTGGGATGATTGAGTTCAACTCACAGAGATGAGCATTCCTTTGTGTGGAGCAGTTCTGAAACACACTTTTTGTAGACTCTGCAGGTGGATATTTGGACCTCTCTGAGGATTTCGTTGGAAGCGGGATAACGTCACCTAACTAAACAGAAGCTTTCACAGTAAACATCCTTCTGACGTTGGCATTCAAAGTCCAGAGTTGAGCCTTCCTTTGGTAGTTCACGTTTGAAACACTCTTTTTGGAGGACCTGCAAGTGGATATTTGGAGCACTTTGTGGCCTTCGTTCGAAACGGCTATATCTTCACATAAAATCTAGACAGAAGCCTTCTCAGAAACTTCTCTGTGATGATTGCATGCAACTCACAGAGTTGAACATTCCTTTTGATAGAGCAGTTTTGAAACTCTCTTTTGCTAGCATCTGCAAATGGATAGGTGGAACTCTGTGAAGACTTACTTTGGAAACGGGAATATCCTCACGTAAAAAGTAAACAGAAGCATTCTCAGAAACTCCTTTGTGAGGCTTGTGTTCAACTCCCACAGTATAACATTGCTTTTCATGGAGCAGTTTTGAAACATTCTTTTCGTAGAGCCTCCAAGTGGACATTTGGAGCCCTTTCAGGCCTGTGGTGGATAAGGAAATATCTTCACATAAAAACTAGAGAGAAGCATTGTCAGAAACTTCTTGGTGATGATTGCATTCAACTCACGGAGCTGAGGATTCCTTTTGATGCAGCAGTTTGGAAACACTCTTTCGGTGGAATCTGCAAGTGGATATGTGGGCCTCTTTGAACATTCCAATGGAAAAGGGATAATCTTCCCATAAAAGCTAAACGGAAGCATGCTCAGGAACTTCTTTGTGATGTTTGCATTCAACTCGCAGAGTTGTACTTTCCTTTTGATAGAGCAGCTTTGAAACCCTCTCTTTCTAGCATCTGCAAGGGGACATTTGGAGGGCTTCGAGGCCTGGGGTGGAAAAGGAAATATCTTCTCATCAAAGCTACATGGAAGCATTCTCAGAAGCTGCTTTGTGATGATTGCTTTCAAGTCACCGAGCTGAACATTCCCTTTGATGGAGCCGTTGGGAAACACAATTTTGGTAGAATCCTAAAGGGGATATTTGGACAGCTTTGAGGCCTATGGCAGTAGAGGATATAACTGCACATAAAAACGAGACAGTAGCATTCCCAGGAAACACTTTGTGACGATTGAGTTCAACTCACGGAGCTGAACATTCCTTTGGATGGAGCAGTTTCCAAACACACTTTGTGTAGAATCTGCAAGTGGAGATTCGGACCGCTCTGAGGATTTCGTTGGATACGGGAGAGAACTCACCTACGTAAACGGAAGCATTCTCAGAACCTTCTTCGTGATGCTTGCATTCAACTCACAGTGTTGAACCTTTCTCTGACAGTTCAGGTTTGAAACACTCCTTCTGCAGAATCTGCAAGTGGAGATTTGGACGTCTTTGAGGCCTGTCGTAGTAAAGGAAAGAACTTCATCTAAAAACAAGACAGA
>NC_000001.11:122056934-122102991 GCF_000001405.40 Homo sapiens
TTTGCCCATTCAGTATGATATTGGCTGTGGGTTTGTCATAGATGATGGAGCATTTTCAAAACACACCTTTTGTAGAATATGCAAGTGGATATTGGGATTTCTCTGAGAATTTCGTTGGAAACAGGATAAACCTCACATAACTGAAGAGGAAAACATTCTCAGAACTTCTTTGTGATGTTGACATTCAACTGACAGAGGTGAACCTTCCCTTGTGAGTTCAGGTTGAAACACTCTTTTCGTAGCATCTGCAAGTGGAGATTTGGAACGCTTTGAGGCCTACGGTAGTAAAGGAAACAGCTTCATGTAAAAACTGGACAGAAGCATTCTCAGGAAATACTTTGGGATGATTGAGTTCAACTCACAGAGCTGAACATTCCTTTGGGTGGAGCAGTTTTGAAACACACTTTTTGTAGACTCTGCTGGTGGATATTTGGACCTCTCTGAGGATTTCGTTGGAAACGGGATAACGTCACCTAACTAAACAGAAGCTTTCGCAGAAACATCTTTCTGACGTTGGCATTCAAAGTCCACAGTTGAGCCTTCCTTTGGTAGTTCACGTTTGAAACACTCTTTTTGGAGGACCTGCAAGTGGATATTGGAGCACATTGTGGTCTTCGTTCGAAACAGCTATATCTTCACATAAAATCTAGACAGAAGCCTTCTCAGAAACTTCTCTGTGATGATTGCATGCAACTCACAGAGTTGAACATTCCTTTTGATAGAGCAGTTTTGAAACTCTCTTTTGCTAGCATCTGCAAATGGATAGGTGGAACTCTGTGAAGACTTCTTTGGAAACGGGAATATCCTCACGTAAAAAGTAAACAGAAGCATTCTCAGAAACTCCTTTGTGAGGCTTGTGTTCAACTCCCAGAGTATAACATTGCTTTTCATAGAGCAGTTTTGAAACATTCTTTTCGTAGAGCCTCCAAGTGGACATTTGGAGTGCTTTCAGGCCTGTGGTGGAAAAGGAAATATCTTCACATAAAAACTAGAGAGAAGCATTGTCAGAATCCTCTTGGTGATGATTGCATTCAACTCACGGAGCTGAGGATTCCTTTTGATGCAGCAGTTTGGAAACACTCTTTCGGTGGAATCTGCAAGCGGATATGTGGACCTCTTTGAACGTTGCGATGGAAAAGGGATAATCTTCCCATAAAAGCTAAACTGAAGCATGCTCAGGAACTTCTTTGTGATGTTTGCATTCAACTCGCAGAGTTGTACTTTCCTTTTGATAGAGCAGCTTTGAAACCCTCTCTTTCTAGCATCTGCAAGGGGACATTTGGAGGGCTTCGAGGCCTGGGGTGGAAAAGGAAATATCTTCTCATCAAAGCTACATGGAAGCATTCTCAGAAGCTGCTTCGTGATGATTGCTTTCAAGTCACCGAGCTGAACATTCCCTTTGATGGAGCCGTTGGGAAACACAATTTTGGTAGAATCCTAAAGGGGATATTTGGACAGCTTTGAGGCCTATGGCAGTAGAGGATATAACTGCACATAAAAACGAGACAGTAGCATTCCCAGGAAACACTTTGTGACGATTGAGTTCAACTCACAGAGCTGAACATTCCTTTGGATGGAGCAGTTTCCAAACACACTTTGTGTAGAATCTGCAAGTGGAGATTCGGACCGCTCTGAGGATTTCGTTGGATACGGGAGAGAACTCACCTACGTAAACGGAAGCATTCTCAGAACCTTCTTCGTGATGCTTGCATTCAACTCACAGTGTTGAACCTTTCTCTGACAGTTCAGGTTTGAAACACTCCTTCTGCAGAATCTGCAAGTGGAGATTTGGACGTCTTTGAGGCCTGTCGTAGTAAAGGAAAGAACTTCATCTAAAAACAAGACAGAAGCATTCTCAGAAAATTCTTTGCGATGATTGAGTTTAACTCACAGAGCTGAGCAGGTCTTTTGATGGAGCATTTTCAAAACACACGTTTTGTAGAATATGCAAGTGGATATTGGGACTTCTCTGAGAATTTCGTTGGAAACGGGATAAACCTCACATAACTGAAGAGGAACATTCTCAGAACTTCTTTGTGATGTTGACATTCAACTGACAGAGGTGAACCTTCCCTTGTGAGTTCAGGTTGAAACGCTCCTTTCGTAGCATCTGCAAGTGGAAATTTGGAACGCTTTGAGGCCTACGGTAGTAAAGGAAACAGCTTCATGTAAAAACTGGACAGAAGCATTCTCAGAAACTATTTTGGGATGATTGAGTTCAACTCACAGAGCTGAACATTATTTTGGGTGGAGCAGTTCTGAAACACACTTTTTGTAGACTCTGCAGGTGGATATTTGGACGTCACTGAGGATTTCGTTGGAAACGGGATAACGTCACCTAACTAAACAGAAGCTTTCGCAGAAACATCCTTCTGACGTTGGCATTCAAAGTCCAGAGTTGAGCCTTCCTTTGGTAGTTCAAGTTTGAAACACTCTTTTTGGAGGACCTGCAAGTGGATATTTGGAGCACTTTGTGGCCTTCGTTCGAAACGGCTATATCTTCAAATAAAATCTAGACAGAAGCCTTCTCAGAAACTTCTCTGTGATGATTGCATGCAACTCACAGAGTTGAACATTCCTTTTGATAGAGCAGTTTTGAAACTCTCTTTTGCTAGCATCTGCAAATGGATAGGTGGAACTCTGTGAAGACTTCTTTGGAAAGGGGAATATCCTCACGTAAAAAGTAAACAGAAGCATTCTCAGAAACTCCTTTGTGAGGCTTGTGTTCAACTCCCAGAGTATAACATTGCTTTTCATGGAGCAGTTTTGAAACATTCTTTTCGTAGAGCCTCCAAGTGGACATTTGGAGCCCTTTCAGGCCTGTGGTGGATAAGGAAATATCTTCACATAAAAACTAGAGAGAAGCATTGTCAGAAACTTCTTGGTGATGATTGCATTCAACTCACGGAGTTGAGGATTCCTTTTGATACAGCAGTTTGGAAACACTCTTTCGGTGGAATCTGCAAGCGGATATGTGGACCTCTTTGAACATTTCGATGGAAAATGGATAATCTTCCCATAAAAGCTAAACGGAAGCATGCTCAGGAACTTCCTTGTGATGTTTCCATTCAACTCACAGAGTTGTACTTTCCTTTTGATAGAGCAGCTTTGAAACCCCCTCTTTCTAGCATCTGCAAGGGGACATTTGGAGGGCTTCGAGGCCTGGGGTGGAAAAGGAAATATCTTCTCATCAAAGCTACATGGAAGCATTCTCAGAAGCTGCTTTGTGATGATTGCATTCAAGTCACCGAGTTGAACATCCCCTTTGATGGGGCCGTTTGGAAACACACTTTTGGTAGAATCTGAAAGGGGAGATTTGGACCGCTTTGAGGCCTATGGCAGTAGAGGATATAACTGCACATAAAAGCGAGACAGGAGCATTCCCAGGAAACGCTTTGTGACCATTGAGTTCAACTCACAGAGCTGAACATTCCTTTGGGTGGAGCAGTTTCCAAACACACTTTGTGTAGAATCTTCAAGTGGAGATTTGGACCGCTCTGAGGATTTCGTTGGATACGGGAGAAAAGTCACCTATGTAAACAGAAGCATTCTCAGAACCTTCTTCGTGATGCTTGCATTCAACTCACAGTGTTGAACCTTTCTCTGACAGTTCAGGTTTGAAACACTCCTTCTGCAGAATCTGCAAGTGGAGATTTGGACCTCCTTGAGGACTATCGTAGTGAAGGAAAGAACTTCATCTAAAAACAAGACGGAAGCATTCTCAGAAAATTCTTTGCGATGATTGAGTTTAACTCACAGAGCTGAGCATATCTTTTGATGGCGCAATTTCCAAACACACCTTTTGTGGAATATGCCAGTGGATTTTGGGACTTCTCTGAGAATTTCGTTGGAAACGGGATAAACCTCACATAACTGAAGAGGAACATTCTCAGAACTTCTTGGTGATGTTGGCATTCAACTGACAGAGTTGAACCTTCCCTTGTGAGTTCAGGTTGAAACGCTCTTTTCGTAGTATCTGTAAGTGGAGGTTTGGAACGCTTTGAGGCCTACGGTTGTAAAGGAAACAGCTTCATGTAAAAACTGGACAGAAGCATTCTCAGAAAATACTTTGGGATGATTGAGTTTAACTCACAGAGCTGAACATTCCTTTTGGTGGAGCAGTTTTGAAACACACTTTTTGTAGACTCTGCAGGTGGATATTTGGACCTCTCTGACGATTTCGTTGGAAACGGGATAACGTCACCTAACTAAACAGAAGCTTTCGCAGAAAAATCTTTCTGACGTTTGCATTCAAAGTCCAGAGTTGAGCCTTCCTTTGGTAGTTCACGTTTGAAACACTCTTTTTGGAGGACCTGCAAGTGGATATTTGGAGCACTTTGTGGCCTTCGTTCGAAACGGCTGTATCTTCACATAAAATCTAGACAGAAGCCTTCTCAGAAACTTCTCTGTGATGATTGCATGCAACTCACAGAGTTGAACATTCCTTTTGATAGAGCAATTTTGAAACTCTCTTTTGCTAGCATCTGCAAATGGATAGGTGGAACTCTGTGAAGACTTCTTTGGAAACGGGAATATCCTCACGTAAAAAGTAAACAGAAGCATTCTCAGAAACTCCTTTGTGGGGCTTGTGTTCAACTCCCAGAGTATAACATTGCTTTTCATAGAGCAGTTTTGAAACATTCTTTTCGTAGAGCATCCAGGTGGACATTTGGAGGGCTTTCAGGCCTGTGTTGGAAAAGGAAATATCTTCACATAAAAACTAGAGAGAAGCATTGTCAGAAACCTCTTGGTGATGATTGCATTCAACTCACGGAGCTGAGGATTCCTTTTGATGCAGCTGTTTGGAAACACTCTTTCGGTGGAATCTGCAAGCGGATATGTGGACCTCTTTGAACATTTCGATGGAAAAGGGATAATCTTCCCGTAAAAGCTAAACGGAAGCATGCTCAGGAACTTCTTTGTGAAGTTTGCATTCAACTCACAGAGTTGTACTTTCCTTTTGATAGAGCAGCTTTGAAACCCTCTCTTTCTAGCATCTCCAAGGGGACATTTGGAGGGCTTCGAGGCCTGGGGTGGAAAAGGAAATATCTTCTCATCAAAGCTACATGGAAGCATTCTCAGAAACTGCTTTGTGATGATTGCATTCAAGTCACCGAGTTGAACATTCCCTTTGATGGAGCCGTTTGGAAACACACTTTTGGTAGAATCTGAAAGGGGAGATTTGGACCGCTTTGAGGCCTATGGCAGTAGAGGATATAACTGCACATAAAAAGGAGACAGGAGCATTCCCAGGAAACACTTTGTGACGATTGAGTTCAATTCACAGAGCTGAACATTCCTTTGGATGGAGCAGTTTCAAAACACACTTTTTGTAGAATCTGCAAGTGGAGATTTGGACCGCTCTGAGGATTTCATTGGATACGGGAGAAAACTCACCTATGTAAACAGAAGCATTCTCAGAACCTTCTTCGTGATGCTTGCATTCAACTCACAGTGTTGAACCTTTCTCTGATAGTTCAGGTTTGAAACACTCCTTCTGCAGAATCTGCAAGTGGAGATTTGGACCTCTTTGAGGCCTATCGTAGTAAAGGAAAGAACTTCATCTAAAAACAAGACAGAAGCATTCTCAGAAAATTCTTTGTGATGATTGTGCTTAACTCACAGAGCGGAGCATATCTTTTGATGGCGCATTTTCAGAACACACCTTTTGTAGAATATGCAAGTGGATTTTGGGAATTCTCTGAGAATTTCGTTGGAAACCGGATAAACATCACATAACTGAAGAGGAACATTCTCAGAACTTCTTGGTGATGTTGGCATTCAACTGACAGAGTTGAACCTTCCCTTGTTAGTTCAGGTTGAAACGCTCTTTTCGTACTATCTCCAAGTGGAGATTTGGAACGCTTTGAGGCATACGGTAGTAAAGGAAACAGCTTCATGTAAAAACTGGACAGAAGCATTCTCAGAAAATACTTTGGGATGATTGAGTTCAACTCACAGAGCTGAACATTCCTTTGGGTGGAGGAGTTTTGAAACACACTTTTTGTAGACTCTGCAGGTGGATATTTGGACCTCTCTGAGGATTTCGTTGGAAACGGGATAACGTCACCTAACTAAACAGAAGCTTTCGCAGAAACATCTTTCTGACGTTGGCCTTCAAAGTCCAGAGTTGAGCCTTCCTTTGGTAGTTCACGTTTGAAACACTCTTTTTGGAGGACCTGCAAGTGGATATTTTGAGCACTTTGTGGCCTTCGTTCGAAACGGCTGTATCTTCACATAAAATCTAGACAGAAGCCTTCTCAGAAACTTCTCTGTGATGATTGCATGCAACTCACAGAGTTGAACATTCCTTTTGATAGAGCAGTTTTGAAACTGTCTTTTGCTAGCATCTGCAAATGGATAGGTGGAACTCTGTGAAGACTTCTTTGGAAACGGGAATATCCTCACGTAAAAAGTAAACAGAAGCATTCTCAGAAACTCCTTTGTGGGGCTTGTGTTCAACTCCCAGAGTATAACATTGCTTTTCATAGAGCAGTTTTGAAACATTCTTTTCGTAGAGCCCCCAAGTGGACATTTGGAGGGCTTTCAGGCCTGTGGTGGAAAAGGAAATATCTTCACATAAAAACTAGAGAGAAGCATTGTCAGAAACTTCTTGGTGATGATTGCATTCAACTCACGGAGTTGAGGATTCCTTTTGATACAGCAGTTTGGAAACACTCTTTCGGTGAAATCTGCAAGCGGATATGTGGACCTCTTTGAACATTTCGATGGAAAAGGGATAATCTTCCCATAAAAGCTAAACGGAAGCATGCTCAGGAACTTGTTTGTGATGTTTGCATTCAACTCACAGAGTTGTACTTTCCTTTTGATAGAGTAGCTTTGAAACCCTCTCTTTCTAGCATCTGCAAGGGGACATTTGGAGGGCTTCGAGGCCTGGGGTGGAAAAGGAAATATCTTCTCATCAAAGCTACATGGAAGCATTCTCAGAAGCTGCTTTGTGATGATTGCTTTCAAGTCACCGAGCTGAACATTCCCTTTGATGGAGCCTTTTGGAAACACACTTTTGGTAGAATCTGAAAGGGGAGATTTGGACCGCTTTGAGGCCTATGGCAGTAGAGGATATAACTGCACATAAAAATGAGACAGTAGCATTCCCAGGAAACACTTTGTGACGATAGAGTTCAACTCACGGAGCTGAACATTGCTTTGGATGGAGCAGTTTCCAAACACACTTTGTGTAGAATCTGCAAGTGGAGATTCGGACCGCACTGAGGATTTCGTTGGATATGGGAGAGAACTCACCTATGTAAACGGAAGCATTCTCAGAACCTTCTTCGTGATGCTTGCATTCAACTCACAGTGTTGAACCTTTCTCTGACAGTTCAGGTTTGAAACACTCCTTCTGCAGAATCTGCAAGTGGAGATTTGGACGTCTTTGAGGCCTGTCGTAGTAAAGGAAAGAACTTCATCTAAAAACAAGACAGAAGCATTCTCAGAAAATTCTTTGCGATGATTGAGTTTAACTCACAGAGCTGAGCAGGTCTTTTGATGGAGCATTTTCAAAACACACGTTTTGTAGAATATGCAAGTGGATATTGGGACTTCTCTGAGAATTTCGTTGGAAACGGGATAAACCTCACATAACTGAAGAGGAACACTCTCAGAACTTCTTTGTGATGTTGGCATTCAACTGACAGAGTTGAAACTTCCCTTGTGAGTTCAGGTTGAAACCCTCTTTTCGTACTATCTTCAAGTGGAGATTTGGAATGCTTTGAGGCCTATGGTAGTAAACGAAACAGCTTCATGTAAAAACTGGACAGAAGCATTCTCAGAAAATACTTTGGGATGATTGAGTTCAACTCACAGAGCTGAACATTCCTTTGGGTGGAGCAGTTTTGAAACACACTTTTTGTAGACTCTGCAGGTGGATATTTGGACCTCTCTGAGGATTTCGTTGGAAACGGGATAACGTCGCCTAACTAAACAGAAGCTTTCGCAGAAACATCCTTCTGACGTTGGCATTCAAAGTCCAGAGTTGAGCCTTCCTTTGGTAGTTCACGTTTGAAACACTCTTTTTGGAGGACCTGCAAGTGGATATTTGGAGCACTTTGTGGCCTTCGTTCGAAACGGCTATATCTTCACATAAAATCTAGACAGAAGCCTTCTCAGAAACTTCTCTGTGATGATTGCATGCAACTCACAGAGTTGAACATTCCTTTTGATAGAGCAGTTTTGAAACTCTCTTTTGCTAGCATCTGCAAATGGATAGGTGGAACTCTGTGAAGACTTCTTTGGAAACGGGAATATCCTCACGTAAAAAGTAAACAGAAGCATTCTCAGAAACTCCTTTGTGAGGCTTGTGTTCAACTCCCAGAGTATAACATTGCTTTTCATGGAGCAGTTTTGAAACATTCTTTTCGTAGAGCCTCCAAGTGGACATTTGGAGCCCTTTCAGGCCTGTGGTGGATAAGGAAATATCTTCACATAAAAACTAGAGAGAAGCATTGTCAGAAACTTCTTGGTGATGATTGCCTTCAACTCACGGAGCTGAGGATTCCTTTGGATGCAGCAGTTTGGAAACACTCTTTCGGTGGAATCTGCAAGCGGATATGTGGACCTCTTTGAACATTTCGATGGAAAAGGGATAATCTTCCCGTAAAAGCTAAACGGAAGCATGCTCAGGAACTTCCTTGTGATGTTTGCATTCAACTCACAGAGTTGTACTTTCCTTTTGATAGAGCAGCTTTGAAACCCCCTCTTTCTAGCATCGGCAAGGGGACATTTGGAGGGCTTCGAGGCCTGGGGTGGAAAAGGAAATATCTTCTCATCAAAGCTACATGGAAGCATTCTCAGAAGCTGCTTTGTGATGATTGCATTCAAATCACCGAGTTGAACATCCCCTTTGATGGGGCCGTTTGGAAACACACTTCTGGTAGAATCTGAAAGGGGAGATTTGGACCGCTTTGAGGCCTATGGCAGTAGAGGATATAACCGCACATAAAAGCGAGACAGGAGCATTCCCAGGAAACGCTTTGTGACGATTGAGTTCAACTCACAGAACTGAACATTCCTTTGGGTGGAGCAGTTTCCAAACACACTTTGTGTAGAATCTGCAAGTGGAGATTTGGACCGCTCTGAGGATTTCGCTGGATACGGGAGAAAAGTCACCTACGTAAACAGAAGCATTCTCAGAACCTTCTTCGTGATGCTTGCATTCAACTCACAGTGTTGAACCTTTCTCTGACAGTTCAGGTTTGAAACACTCCTTCTGCAGAATCTGCCAGTGGAGATTTGGACCTCTTTGAGGCCTGTCGTAGTAAAGGAAAGAACTTCATCTAAAAACAAGACGGAAGCATTCTCAGAAAATTCTTTGCGATGATTGAGTTTAACTCACAGAGCTGAGCATATCTTTTGATGGCGCATTTTACAAACACACCTTTTGTGGAATATGCAAGTGGATTTAGGGACTTCTCTGAGAATTTCGTGGGAAACGGGATAAACCTCACATAACTGAAGAGGAACATTCTCAGAAGTTCTTGGTAACGTTGGCATTCAACTGACAGAGTTGAACCTTCCCTTGTGAGTTCAGGTTGAAACGCTCTTTTCGTAGTATCTGCAAGTGGAGGTTTGGAACGCTTTGAGGCCTACAGTAGTAAAGGAAACAGCTTCATGTAAAAACTGGACAGAAGCCTTCTCAGAAAATACTTTGGGATGATTGAGTTCAACTCACAGAGCTGAACATTCCTTTGGGTGGAGCAGTTTTGAAACACACTTTTTGTAGACTCTGCAGGTGGATATTTGGACCTCTCTGAGGATTTCGTTGGAAACGGGATAACGTCACCTAACTAAACAGAAGCTTCCGCAAAAACATCCTTCTGACGTTGGCCTTCAAAGTCCCGAGTTGAGCCTTCCTTTGGTAGTTCACGTTTGAAACACTCTTTTTGGAGGACCTGCAAGTGGATATTTGGAGCACTTTGTGGCCTTCATTCGAATCGGCTATATCTTCACATAAAATCTAGACAGAAGCCTTCTCAGAAACTTCTCTGTGATGATTGCACGCAACTGACAGAGGTGAACATTCCTTTTGATAGAGCAGTTTTGAAACTCTCTAGTTTTGCTGGCATCTGCAAATGGATAGGTGGAACTCTGTGAAGACTTCTTTGGAAACGGGAATATCCCCACGTAAAAAGTAAACAGAAGCATTCTCAGAAACTCCTTTGTGAGGCTTGTGTTCAACTCCCAGAGTATAACTTGGCTCTTCATAGAGCAGTTTTGAAACATTCTTTTCGTAGAGCCTCCAAGTGGACATTTGGAGCGCTTTCAGGCCTGCGGTGGAAAAGGAAATATCTTCACATAAAAACTAGAGAGAAGCATTGTCACAAACTTCTTGGTGATGATTGCATTCAACTCACGGAGCTGAGGATTCCTTTGGATGCAGCAGTTTGGAAACACTCTTTCGGTGGAATCTGCAAGCGGATATGTGGACCTCTTTGAACATTTCGATGGAAAAGGGATAATCTTCCCGTAAAAGCTAAACGGAAGCATGCTCAGGAACTTCCTTGTGATGTTTGCATTCAACTCACAGAGTTGTACTTTCCTTCTGATAGAGCAGCTTTGAAACCCCCTCTTTCTAGCATCTGCAAGGGGACATTTGGAGGGCTTCGAGGCCTGGGGTGGAAAAGGAAATATCTTCTCATCAAAGCTACATGGAAGCATTCTCAGAAGCTGCTTTGTGATGATTGCATTCAAGTCACCGAGTTGAACATCCCCTTTGATGGGGCCGTTTGGAAACACACTTTTGGTAGAATCTGAAAGGGGAGATTTGGACCGCTTTGAGGCCTATGGCAGTAGAGGATATAACTGCACATAAAAGCGAGACAGGAGGATTCCCAGGAAATGCTTTGTGACCATTGAGTTCAACTCACAGAGCTGAACATTCCTTTGGGTGGAGCAGTTTGCAAACACACTTTGTGTAGAATCTGCAAGTGGAGATTTGGACCGCTCTGATGATTTCGCTGGATACGGCAGAAAAGTCACCTACGTAAACAGAAGCATTCTCAGAACCTTCTTCGTGATGCTTGCATTCAACTCACAGTGTTGAACCTTTCTCTGACAGTTCAGGTTTGAAACACTCCTTCTGCAGAATCTGCAAGTGGAGGTTTGGACCTCTTTGAGGCCTATCGTAGTAAAGGAAATAACTTCATCTAAAAACAAGACGGAAGCATTCTCAGAAAATTCTTTGCGATGATTGAGTTTAACTCACAGAGCTGAGCATATCTTTTGATGGCGCATTTTCCAAACACACCTTTTGTGGAATATGCAAGTGGATTTTGGGACTTCTCTGAGAATTTCGTTGGAAACGGGATAAACCTCACGTAACTGAAGAGGAACATTCTCAGAAGTTCTTGGTGATGTTGGCATTCAACTGACAGAGTTGAACCTTCCCTTGTGAGTTCAGGTTGAAACGCTCTTTTCGTAGTATCTGCAAGTGGAGGTTTGGAACGCTTTGAGGCCTACGGTAGTAAAGGAAACAGCTTCATGTAAACACTGGACAGAAGCATTCTCAGAAAATACTTTGGGATGATTGAGTTCAACTCACAGAGCTGAACATTCCTTTGGGTGGAGCAGTTTGGAAACACACTTTTTGTAGGCTCTGCAGGTGGATATTTGGACCTCTCTGAGGATTTCGTTGGAAACGGGATAACGTCACCTAACTAAACAGAAGCTTTCGCAGAAACATCCTTCTGACGTTGGCCTTCAAAGTCCAGAGTTGAGCCTTCCTTTGGTAGTTCACGTTTGAAACACTCTTTTTGGAGGACCTGCAAGTGGATATTTGGAGCACTTTGTGGCCTTCATTCGAAACGGCTATACCTTCACATAAAATCTAGACAGAAGCCTTCTCAGAAACTTCTCTGTGATGATTGCATGCAACTCACAGAGTTGAACATTCCTTTTGATGGAGCAGTTTTGAAACTCTCTTTTGCTAGCATCTGCAAATGGATAGGTGGAACTCTGTGAAGACTTCTTTGGAAACGGGAATATCCTCACGTAAAAAGTAAACAGAAGCATTCTCAGTAACTCCTTTGTGAGGCTTGTGTTCAACTCCCAGAGTATAACATTTCTTTTCATAGAGCAGTTTTGAAACATTCTTTTCGTAGAGCCTCCAAGTGGACATTTGAGCGCTTTCAGGCCTGCGGTGGAAAAGGAAATATCTTCACATAAAAACTAGAGAGAAGCATTGTCAGAAACTTCTTGGTGATGATTGCATTCAACTCACGGAGCTGAGGATTCGCTTTGATGCAGCAGTTTGGAAACACTCTTTCGGTGGAATCTGCAAGCGGATATGTGGACCTCTTTGAACATTTCGATGGAAAAGGGATAATCTTCCCGTAAAAGCTAAACGGAAGCATGCTCAGGAACTTCCTTGTGATGTTTGCATTCAACTCACAGAGTTGTACTTTCCTTTTGATAGAGCAGCTTTGAAACCCCCTCTTTCTAGCATCTGCAAGGGGACATTTGGAGGGCTTCGAGGCCTGGGGTGGAAAAGGAAATATCTTCTCATCAAAGCTACATGGAAGCATTCTCAGAAGCTGCTTTGTGATGATTGCATTCAAGTCACCGGGTTGAACATCCCCTTTGATGGGGCCGTTTGGAAACACACTTTTGGTAGAATCTGGAAGGGGAGATTTGGACCGCTTTGAGGCCTATGGCAGTAGAGGTTATAACTGCAC
Source organism: Homo sapiens (assembly GCF_000001405.40). Classification (NCBI taxonomy): domain Eukaryota; kingdom Metazoa; phylum Chordata; class Mammalia; order Primates; family Hominidae; genus Homo; species Homo sapiens. Next base: position 122,069,627 of record NC_000001.11, read on the forward strand.
ATAAAAGCGAGACAGGAGCATTCCCAGGAAACGCTTTGTGACGATTGAGTTCAACTCACAGAGCTGAACATTCCTTTGGGTGGAGCAGTTTCCAAAAACACTTTGTGTAGAATCTGCAAGTGGAGATTTGGACCGCTCTGAGGATTTCGTTGGATACGGGAGAAAAGTCACCTACGTAAACAGAAGCATTCTCAGAACCTTCTTCGTGATGCTTGCATTCAACTCACAGTGTTGAACCTTTCTCTGACAGTTCAGGTTTGAAACACTCCTTCTGCAGAATCTGCAAGTGGAGATTTGGACCTCCTTGAGGCCTATCGTAGTAAAGGAAAGAACTTCATCTAAAAACAAGACGGAAGCATTCTCAGAAAATTCTTTGCGATGATTGAGTTTAACTCACAGAGCTGAGCATATCTTTTGATGGCGCAATTTCCAAACACACCTTTTGTGGAATATGCCAGTGGATTTTGGGACTTCTCTGAGAATTTCGTTGGAAACGGGATAAACCTCACATAACTGAAGAGGAACATTCCCAGAACTTCTTTGTGATGTTGGCATTCAACTGACAGAGTTGAACCTTCCCTTCTGTGTTCAGGTTGAAACGCTCTTTTCGTAGTATCTGCAAGTGGAGATTTGGAATGCTTTGAGGCCTACGGTAGTAAAGGAAACAGCTTCATGTAAAATCTGGACAGAAGCATTCTCAGGAAATACTTTGGGATGATTGAGTTCAACTCACAGAGCTGAACATTCCTTTGGGTGGAGCAGTTTTGAAAAACACTTTTTGTAGACTCTGCCGGTGGATATTTGGAACTCTCTGAGGATTTCGTTGGAAACGGGATAACGTTGCCTAACTAAACAGAAGCTTTCGCAGAAACATCTTTCTGACGTTGGCATTCAAAGTCCAGAGTTGAGCCTTCCTTTGGTAGTTCACGTTTGAAACACTCTTTTTGGAGGACCTGCAAGTGGATATTGGAGCACTTTGTGGCCTTCGTTCAAAACGGCTATATCTTCACATAAAATCTAGACAGAAGCCTTCTCAGAAACTTCTCTGTGATGATTGCATGCAACTCACAGAGTTGAACATTCCTTTTGATAGAGCAGTTTTGAAACTCTCTTTTGCTAGCATCTGCAAATGGATAGGTGGAACTCTGTGAAGACTTCTTTGGAAACGGGAATATCCTCATGTGAAAATTAAACAGAAGAATTCTCAGAAACTCCTTTGTGAGGCTTGTGTTCAACTCCCAGAGTATAACATTGCTTTTCATGGAGCAGTTTTGAAACATTCTTTTCGTAGAGCCTCCAAGTGGACATTTGGAGCCCTTTCAGGCCTGTGGTGGATAAGGAAATATCTTCACATAAAAACTAGAGAGAAGCATTCTCAGAATCTTCTTGGTGATGATTGCATTCAACTCACGGAGCTGAGGATTCCTTTTGATGCAGCAGTATGGAAACACTCTTTCGGTGGAAGCTGCAAGCGGATATGTGGACCTCTTTGAACATTCCGATGGAAAAGGGATAATCTTCCCGTAAAAGCTAAACGGAAGCATGCTCAGGAACTTCTTTGTGATGTTTGCATTCAACTCGCAGTGTTGTACTTTCCTTTTGATAGAGCAGCTTTGAAACCCTCCCTTTCTAGCATCTGCAAGGGGACATTTGGAGGGCTTCGAGGCCTGGGGTGGAAAAGGAAATATCTTCTCATCAAAGATACATGGAAGCATTCTCAGAAACTGCTGTGTGATGATTGCTTTCAAGTCACCGAGTTGAACATTCCCTTTGATGGAGCCGTTTGGAAACACACTTTTGGTAGAATCTGAAAGGGGAGATTTGGACCGCTTTGAGGCCTATGGCAGTAGAGGATATAACTGCACATAAAAACGAGACAGTAGCATTCCCAGGAAACACTTTGTGACGATTGAGTTCAACTCACGGAGCTGAACATTCCTTTGGATGGAGCAGTTTCCAAACACACTTTGTGTAGTATCTGCAAGTGGAGATTCGGACCGCTCTGAGGATTTCGTTGGATACGGGAGAGAACTCACCTACGTAAACGGAAGCATTCTCAGAACCTTCTTCGTGATGCTTGCCTTCAAATCACAGTATTGAACCTTTCTCTGACAGTTCAGGTTTGAAACACTCCTTCTGCAGAATCTGCAAGTGGAGATTTGGACCTCTTTGAGGCCTGTCGTAGTAAAGGAAAGAACTTCATCTAAAAACAAGACAGAAGCATTCTCAGAAAATTCTTTGCGATGATTGAGTTTAACTCACAGAGCTCAGCAGGTCTTTTGATGGAGCATTTTCAAAACACACGTTTTGTAGTATATGCAAGTGGATATTGGGACTTCTCCGAGAATTTCGTTGGAAACGGGATAAACCTCACATAACTGAAGAGGAACATTCTCAGAACTTCTTTGTGATGTTGACATTCAACTGACAGTGGTGAACCTTCCCTTGTGAGTTCAGGTTGAAACGCTCTTTTCGTAGCATCTGCAAGTGGAGATTTGGAACGCTTTGAGGCCTACGGTAGTAAAGGAAACAGCTTCACGTAAAAACTGGACAGAAGCATTCTCAGGAAATACTTTGGGATGATTGAGTTCAACTCACAGAGCTGAACATTCCTTTGGGTGGAGCAGTTTTGAAACACACTTTTTGTAGACTCTGCTGGTGGATATTTGGACCTCTCTGAGGATTTCGTTGGAAACGGGATAACGTCACCTAACTAAACAGAAGCTTTCGCAGAAACATCTTTCTGACGTTGGCATTCAAAGTCCACAGTTGAGCCTTCCTTTGGTAGTTCACGTTTGAAACACTCTTTTTGGAGGACCTGCAAGTGGATATTGGAGCACATTGTGGTCTTCGTTCGAAACAGCTATATCTTCACATAAAATCTAGACAGAAGCCTTCTCAGAAACTTCTCTGTGATGATTGCATGCAACTCACAGAGTTGAACATTCCTTTTGATAGAGCAGTTTTGAAACTCTCTTTTGCTAGCATCTGCAAATGGATAGGTGGAACTCTGTGAAGACTTCTTTGGAAACGGGAATATCCTCACGTAAAAAGTAAACAGAAGCAATCTCAGAAACTCCTTTGTGAGGCTTGTGTTCAACTCCCAGAGTATAACATTGCTTTTCATGGAGCAGTTTTGAAACATTCTTTTCATAGAGCCTCCAAGTGGACATTTGGAGCCCTTTCAGGCCTGTGGTGGTTAAGGAAATATCTTCACATAAAAACTAGAGAGAAGCATTCTCAGAATCCTCTTGGTGATGATTGCATTCAACTCACGGAGCTGAGGATTCCTTTTGATGCAGCAGTTTGGAAACACTCTTTCGGTGGAATCTGCAAGCGGATATGTGGACCTCTTTGAACATTCTGATGGAAAAGGGATAATCTTCCCGTAAAAGCTAAACAGAAGCATGCTCAGGAACTTCTTTGTGATGTTTGCATTCAACTCGCAGAGTTGTACTTTCCTTTTGATAGAGCAGCTTTGAAACCCTCTCTTTCTAGCATCTGCAAGGGGACATTTGGAGGGCTTCGAGGCCTGGGGTGGAAAAGGAAATATCTTCTCATCAAAGCTACATGGAAGCATTCTCAGAAGCTGCTTTGTGATGATTGCTTTCAAGTCACCGAGCTGAACATTCCCTTTGATGGAGCCGTTGGGAAACACACTTTTGGTAGAATCTGAAAGGGGAGATTTGGACCGCTTTGAGGCCTATGGCAGTAGAGGATATAACTGCACATAAAAACGAGACAGTAGCATTCCCAGGAAACACTTTGTGACGATTGAGTTCACCTCACGGAGCTGAACATTCCTTTGGATGGAGCAGTTTCCAAACACACTTTGTGTAGAATCTGCAAGTGGAGATTCGGACCGCTCTGAGGATTTCATTGGATACGGGAGAGAACTCACCTACGTAAACGGAAGCATTCTCAGAACCTTCTTCGTGATGCTTGCATTCAACTCACAGTGTTGAACCTTTCTCTGACAGTTCAGGTTTGAAACACTCCTTCTGCAGAATCTGCAAGTGGAGATTTGGACCTCTTTGAAGCCTGTCGTAGTAAAGGAAAGAACTTCATCTAAAAACAAGACAGAAGCATTCTCAGAAAATTCTTTGCGATGATTGAGTTTAACTCACAGAGCTGAGCAGGTCTTTTGATGGAGCATTTTCAAAACACACGTTTTGTAGAATATGCAAGTGGATATTGGGACTTCTCTGAGAATTTCGTTGGAAACGGGATAAACCTCACATAACTGAAGAGGAACATTCTCAGAACTTCTTTGTGATGTTGACATTCAACTGACAGAGGTGAACCTTCCCTTGTGAGTTCAGGTTGAAACGCTCTTTTCGTAGCATCTGCAAGTGGAGATTTGGAACGCTTTGAGGCCTACGGTAGTAAAGGAAACAGCCTCATGTAAAAACTGGACAGAAGCATTCTCAGGAAATACTTTGGGATGATTGAGTTCAACTCACAGAGCTGAATATTCCTTTGGGTGGAGCAGTTTTGAAACACACTTTTTGCAGACTCTGCTGGTGGATATTTGGACCTCTCCTAGGATTTCGTTGGAAACGAGATAACGTCGCCTAACTAAACAGAAGTTTTCGCAGAAACATCTTTCTGACGTTGGCATTCAAAGTCCAGAGTTGAGCCTTCCTTTGGTAGTTCACGTTTGAAACACTCTTTTTGGAAGTCCTGCAAGTGGATATTTGGAGCACTTTGTGGCCTTCATTCGAAACGGCTATATCTTCACATAAAATCTAGAAAGAAGCCTTCTCAGAAACTTCTCTGTGATGATTGCATGCAACTCACAGAGTTGAACATTCCTTTTGATAGAGCAGTTTTGAAACTCTCTTTTGCTAGCATCTGCAAATGGATAGGTGGAACTCTGTGAAGACTTCTTTGGAAATGGGAATATCCTCACGTAAAAAGTAAACAGAAGCATTCTCAGAAACTCCTTTGTGAGGCTTGTGTTCAACTCCCAGAGTATAACATTGCTTTTCATAGAGCAGTTTTGAAACATTCTTTTAGTAGAGCCTCCAAGTGGACATTTGGAGCGCTTTCAGGCCTGCGGTGGAAAAGGAAATATCTTCACATAAAAGCTAGAGAGAAGCATTGTCAGAAACTTCTTGGTGATGATTGCATTCAACTCACGGAGCTGAGGATTCCTTTTGATGCAGCAGTTTGGAAACACTCTTTCGGTGGAATCTGCAAGCGGATATGTGGACCTCTTTGAACATTTCTATGGAAAAGGGATAATCTTCCCGTAAAAGCTAAACGGAAGCATGCTCAGGAACTTCCTTGTGATGTTTGCATTCAACTCACAGCGTTGTACTTTCCTTTTGATAGAGCAGCTTTGAAACCCCCTCTTTCTAGCATCTGCAAGGGGACATTTGGAGGGCTTCGAGGCCTGGGGTGGAAAAGGAAATATCTTCTCATCAAAGCTACATGGAAGCATTCTCAGAAGCTGCTTTGGGATGATTGCATTCAAGTCACCGAGTTGAACATTCCCTTTGATGGAGCCGTTTGGAAACACACTTTTGGTAGGATCTGAAAGGGGAGATTTGGACCGCTTTGAGGCCTATGGCAGTAGAGGATATAACTGCACATAAAAGCGACACAGGGAGCATTCCCAGGTAAACGCTTTGTGACGATTGAGTTCAACTCACAGAGCTGAACATTCCTTTGGGTGAAGCAGTTTCCAAACACACTTTGTGTAGAATCTGCAAGTGGAGATTTGGACCGCTCTGAGGATTTCGTTGGATACGGGAGAAAAGTCACCTACGTAAACAGAAGCATTCTCAGAACCTTCTTCGTGATGCTTGCATTCAACTCACAGTGTTGAACTTTTCTCTGACAGTTCAGGTTTGAAACACTCCTTCTGCAGAATCTGCAAGTGGAGATTTGGACCTCCTTGAGGCCTATCGTAGTAAAGGAAAGAACTTCATCTGAAAACAAGACGGAAGCATTCTCAGAAAATTCTTTGCGATGATTGAGTTTAACTCACAGAGCTGAGCATATCTTTTGATGGCGCATTTTCCAAACACACCTTTTGTGGAATATGCAAGTGGATTTTGGGACTTCTCTGAGAATTTCGTTGGAAACGGGATAAACCTCACGTAACTGAAGAGGAACATTCTCAGAAGTTCTTGGTGATGTTGGCATTCAACTGACAGAGTTGAACCTTCCCTTGTGAGTTCAGGTTGAAACGCTCTTTTCGTAGTATCTGCAAGTGGAGGTTTGGAACGCTTTGAGGCCTACGGTAGTAAAGGAAACAGCTTCATGTAAAAACTGGACAGAAGCATTCTCAGAAAATACTTTGGGATGATTGAGTTCAACTCACAGAGCTGAACATTCCTTTGGGTGGAGCAGTTTTGAAACACACTTTTTGTAGACTCTGCAGGTGGATATTTGGACCTCTCTGAGGATTTCGTTGGAGACGGGATAACGTCACCTAACTAAACAGAAGCTTTCGCAGAAACATCCTTCGACGTTGGCATTCAAAGTCCAGAGTTGAGCCTTCCTTTGGTAGTTCACGTTTGAAACACTCTTTTTGGAGGACCTGCAAGTGGATATTGGGAGCACTTTGTGGCCTTCGTTCGAAACGGCCATATCTTCACATAAAATCTAGACAGAAGCCTTCTCAGAAACTTCTCTGTGATGATTGCATGCAACTCACAGAGTTAAACATTCCTTTTGATGGAGCAGTTTTGAAACTCTCTTTTGCTAGCATCTGCAAATGTATAGGTGGAACTCTGTGAAGACTTCTTTGGAAACGGGAATATCCTCACGTAAAAAGTAAACAGAAGCATTCTCAGAAACTCCTTTGTGAGGCTTGTGTTCAACTCCAGGAGTATAACATTGCTTTTCATAGAGCAGTTTTGAAACATTCTTTTCGTAGAGCCTCCAAGTGGACATTTGGAGCGCTTTCAGGCCTGCGGTGGAAAAGGAAATATCTTCACATAAAAACTAGAGAGAAGCATTGTCAGAAACTTCTTGGTGATGATTGCATTCAACTCACGGAGCTGAGGATTCCTTTGGATGCAGCAGTTTGGAAACACTCTTTGTGTGGAATCTGCAAGCGGATATGTGGACCTCTTTGAACATTTCGATGGAAAAGGGATAATCTTCCCGTAAAAGCTAAACGGAAGCATGCTCAGGAACTTCCTTGTGATGTTTGCATTCAACTCACAGAGTTGTACTTTCCTTTTGATAGAGCAGCTTTGAAACCCCCTCTTTCTAGCATCTGCAAGGGGACATTTGGAGGGCTTCGAGGCCTGGGGTGGAAAAGGAAATATCTTCTCATCAAAGCTACATGGAAGCATTCTCAGAAGCTGCTTTGTGATGATTGCATTCAAGTCACCGAGTTGAACATCCCCTTTGATGGGGCCGTTTGGAAACACACTTTTGGTAGAATCTGAAAGGGGAGATTTGGACCGCTTTGAGGCCTATGGCAGTAGAGGATATAACTGCACATAAAAGCGAGACAGGAGCATTCCCAGGAAACGCTTTGTGACCATTGAGTTCAACTCACAGAGCTGAACATTCCTTTGGGTGGAGCAGTTTCCAAACACACTTTGTGTAGAATCTTCAAGTGGAGATTTGGACCGCTCTGAGGATTTCGTTGGATACGGGAGAAAAGTCACCTATGTAAACAGAAGCATTCTCAGAACCTTCTTCGTGATGCTTGCCTTCAAATCACAGTATTGAACCTTTCTCTGACAGTTCAGGTTTGAAACACTCCTTCTGCAGAATCTGCAAGTGGAGATTTGGACCTCTTTGAGGCCTGTCGTAGTAAAGGAAAGAACTTCATCTAAAAACAAGACAGAAGCATTCTCAGAAAATTCTTTGCGATGATTGAGTTTAACTCACAGAGCTCAGCAGGTCTTTTGATGGAGCATTTTCAAAACACACGTTTTGTAGTATATGCAAGTGGATATTGGGACTTCTCCGAGAATTTCGTTGGAAACGGGATAAACCTCACATAACTGAAGAGGAACATTCTCAGAACTTCTTTGTGATGTTGACATTCAACTGACAGTGGTGAACCTTCCCTTGTGAGTTCAGGTTGAAACGCTCTTTTCGTAGCATCTGCAAGTGGAGATTTGGAACGCTTTGAGGCCTACGGTAGTAAAGGAAACAGCTTCACGTAAAAACTGGACAGAAGCATTCTCAGGAAATACTTTGGGATGATTGAGTTCAACTCACAGAGCTGAACATTCCTTTGGGTGGAGCAGTTTTGAAACACACTTTTTGTAGACTCTGCTGGTGGATATTTGGACCTCTCTAAGGATTTCGTTGGAAACGGGATAACGTCACCTAACTAAACAGAAGCTTTCGCAGAAACATCTTTCTGACGTTGGCATTCAAAGTCCACAGTTGAGCCTTCCTTTGGTAGTTCACGTTTGAAACACTCTTTTTGGAGGACCTGCAAGTGGATATTGGAGCACATTGTGGTCTTCGTTCGAAACAGCTATATCTTCACATAAAATCTAGACAGAAGCCTTCTCAGAAACTTCTCTGTGATGATTGCATGCAACTCACAGAGTTGAACATTCCTTTTGATAGAGCAGTTTTGAAACTCTCTTTTGCTAGCATCTGCAAATGGATAGGTGGAACTCTGTGAAGACTTCTTTGGAAACGGGAATATCCTCACGTAAAAAGTAAACAGAAGCATTCTCAGAAACTCCTTTGTGAGGCTTGTGTTCAACTCCCAGAGTATAACATTGCTTTTCATAGAGCAGTTTTGAAACATTCTTTTCGTAGAGCCTCCAAGTGGACATTTGGAGCGCTTTCAGGCCTGTGGTGGAAAAGGAAATATCTTCACATAAAAACTAGAGAGAAGCATTGTCAGAAACTTCTTGGTGATGATTGAATTCAACTCACGGAGCTGAGGATTCCTTTTGATGCAGCAGTTTGGAAACACTCTTTCGGTGGAATCTGCAAGCGGATATGTGGACCTCTTTGAACATTTCGATGGAAAAGGGATAATCTTCCCGTAAAAGCTAAACGGAAGCATGCTCAGGAACTTCCTTGTGATGTTTGCATTCAACTCACAGAGTTGTACTTTCCTTTTGATAGAGCAGCTTTGAAACCCCCTCTTTCTAGCATCTGCAAGGGGACATTTGGAGGGCTTCGAGGCCTGGGGTGGAAAAGGAAATATCTTCTCATCAAAGCTACATGGAAGCATTCTCAGAAGCTGCTTTGTGATGATTGCATTCAAGTCACCGGGTTGAACATCCCCTTTGATGGGGCCGTTTGGAAACACACTTTTGGTAGAATCTGGAAGGGGAGATTTGGACCGCTTTGAGGCCTATGGCAGTAGAGGATATAACTGCACATAAAAGCGAGACAGGAGCATTCCCAGGAAACGCTTTGTGACGATTGAGTTCAACTCACAGAGCTGAACATTCCTTTGGGTGGAGAAGTTTCCAAACACACTTTGTGTAGAATCTGCAAGTGGAGATTTGGACCGCTCTGAGGATTTCGTTGGATACGGGAGAAAAGTCACCTACGTAAACAGAAGCATTCTCAGAACCTTCTTCGTGATGCTTGCATTCAACTCACAGTGTTGAACCTTTCTCTGACAGTTAAGGTTTGAAACACTCCTTCTGCAGAATCTGCAAGTGGAGATTTGGACCTCCTTGAGGCCTATCATAGTAAAGGAAAGAACTTCATCTAAAAACAAGACGGAAGCATTCTCAGAAAATTCTTTGCGATGATTGAGTTTAACTCACAGAGCTGAGCATATCTTTTGATGGCGCATTTTCCAAACACACCTTTTGTGGAATATGCAAGTGGATTTTGGGACTTCTCTGAGAATTTCGTTGGAAACGGGATAAACCTCACGTAACTGAAGAGGAACATTCTCAGAAGTTCTTGGTGATGTTGGCATTCAACTGACAGAGGTGAAACTTCCCTTGTGAGTTCAGGTTGAAACGCTCTTTTCGTAGTATCTGCAAGTGGAGGTTTGGAACGCTTTCAGGCCTGCGGTAGTAAAGGAAACAGCTTCATGTAAAAAGTGGACAGAAGCATTGTCTGAAAATACTTTGGGATGATTCAGTTCAACTCACAGAGCTGAACATTCCTTTGGGTGGAGCAGTTTTGAAACACACTTTTTGTAGACTCTGCAGGTGGATATTTGGACCTCTCTGAGGATTTCGTTGGAGACGGGATAACGTCACCTAACTAAACAGAAGCTTTTGCAGAAACATCCTTCTGACGTTGGCCTTCAAAGTCCAGAGTTGAGCCTTCCTTTGGTAGTTAACGTTTGAAACACTCTTTTTGGAGGACCTGCAAGTGGATATTTGGAGCACTTTGTGGCCTTCGTTCGAAACGGCTATATCTTCACATAAAATCTAGACAGAAGCCTTCTCAGAAACTTCTCTGTGATGATTGCATGCAACTCACAGAGTTGAACATTCCTTTTGATGGAGCAGTTTTGAAACTCTCTTTTGCTAGCATCTGCAAATGGATAGGTGGAACTCTGTGAAGACTTCTTTGGAAACGGGAATATCCTCACGTAAAAAGTAAACAGAAGCATTCTCAGAAACTCCTTTGTGAGGCTTGTGTTCAACTCCCAGAGTATAACATTGCTTTTCATAGAGCAGTTTTGAAACATTCTTTTCGTAGAGCCTCCAAGTGGACATTTGGAGCACTTTCAGGCCTGCGGTGGAAAAGGAAATATCTTCACATAAAAACTAGAGAGAAGCATTCTCAGAATCTTCTTGGTGATGATTGCATTCAACTCACGGAGCTGAGGATTCCTTTTGATGCAGCAGTATGGAAACACTCTTTCGGTGGAAGCTGCAAGCGGATATGTGGACCTCTTTGAACATTCCGATGGAAAAGGGATAATCTTCCCGTAAAAGCTAAACGGAAGCATGCTCAGGAACTTCTTTGTGATGTTTGCATTCAACTCGCAGTGTTGTACTTTCCTTTTGATAGAGCAGCTTTGAAACCCTCCCTTTCTAGCATCTGCAAGGGGACATTTGGAGGGCTTCGAGGCCTGGGGTGGAAAAGGAAATATCTTCTCATCAAAGATACATGGAAGCATTCTCAGAAGCTGCTTTGTGATGATTGCTTTCAAGTCACCGAGCTGAACATTCCCTTTGATGGAGCCGTTTGGAAACACACTTTTGGTAGAATCTGAAAGGGGAGATTTGGACCGCTTTGAGGCCTATGGCAGTAGAGGATATAACTGCACATAAAAACGAGACAGTAGCATTCCCAGGAAACACTTTGTGACGATTGAGTTCAACTCACGGAGCTGAACATTCCTTTGGATGGAGCAGTTTCCAAACACACTTTGTGTAGAATCTGCAAGTGGAGATTCGGACCGCTCTGAGGATTTCGTTGGATACGGGAGAGAACTCACCTATGTAAACGGAAGCATTCTCAGAACCTTCTTCGTGATGCTTGCATTCAACTCACAGTGTTGAACCTTTCTCTGACAGTTCAGGTTTGAAACACTCCTTCTGCAGAATCTGCAAGTGGAGATTTGGACCTCTTTGAGGCCTGTCGTAGTAAAGGAAAGAACTTCATCTAAAAACAAGACAGAAGCATTCTCAGAAAATTCTTTGTGATGATTGTGCTTAACTCACAGAGCGGAGCATATCTTTTGATGGCGCATTTTCAGAACACACCTTTTGTAGAATATGCAAGTGGATTTTGGGAATTCTCTGAGAATTTCGTTGGAAACCGGATAAACATCACATAACTGAAGAGGAACATTCTCAGAAGTTCTTGGTGATGTTGGCATTCAACTGGCAGACTTGAACCTTCCCTTGTGAGTTCAGGTTGAAACGCTCTTTTCGTAGTATCTGCAAGTGGAGGTTTGGAACGCTTTGAGGCCTACGGTAGTAAAGGAAACAGCTTCATGTAAAAACTGGACAGAAGCATTCTCAGAAAATACTTTGGGATGATTGAGTTCAACTCACAGAGCTGAACATTCCTTTGGGTGGAGCAGTTTTGAAACACACTTTTTGTAGACTTTGCAGGTGGATATTTGGACCTCTCTGAGGATTTCGTTGGAAACGGGATAACGTCACCTAACTAAACAGAAGCTTTCGCAGAAACATCCTTCTGACGTTGGCATTCAAAGTCCAGAGTTGAGCCTTCCTTTGTTAGTTCACGTTTGAAACACTCTTTTTGGAGGACCTGCAAGTGGATATTGGGAGCGCTTTGTGGCCTTCGTTCGAAACGGCCATATCTTCACATAAAATCTAGACAGAAGCCTTCTCAGAAACTTCTCTGTGATGATTGCATGCAACTCACAGAGTTGAACATTCCTTTTGATGGAGCAGTTTTGAAACTCTCTTTTGCTAGCATCTGCAAATGTATAGGTGGAACTCTGTGAAGACTTCTTTGGAAACGGGAATATCCTCACGTAAAAAGTAAACAGAAGCATTCTCAGAAACTCCTTTGTGAGGCTTGTGTTCAACTCCCAGAGTATAACATTGCTTTTCATAGAGCAGTTTTGAAACATTCTTTTCGTAGAGCCTCCAAGTGGACATTTGGAGCGCTTTCAGGCCTGCGGTGGAAAAGGAAATATCTTCACATAAAAACTAGAGAGAAGCATTGTCAGAAACTTCTTGGTGATGATTGCATTCAACTCACGGAGCTGAGGATTCCTTTTGATGCAGCAGTTTGGAAACACTCTTTCGGTGGAATCTGCAAGCCGATATGTGGACCTCTTTGAACATTTCGATGGAAAAGGGATAATCTTCCCGTAAAAGCTAAACGGAAGCATGCTCAGGAACTTCCTTGTGATGTTTGCATTCAACTCAGAGAGTTGTACTTTCCTTTTGATAGAGCAGCTTTGAAACCCCCTCTTTCTAGCATCTGCAAGGGGACATTTGGAGGGCTTCGAGGCCTGGGGTGGAAAAGGAAATATCTTCTCATCAAAGCTACATGGAAGCATTCTCAGAAGCTGCTTTGTGATGATTGCTTTCAAGTCACCGAGCTGAACATTCCCTTTGATGGAGCCGTTTGGAAACACACTTTCGGTAGAATCTGAAAGGGGAGATTTGGACCGCTTTGAGGCCTATGGCAGTAGAGGATATAACTGCACATAAAAACGAGACAGTAGCATTCCCAGGAAACACTTTGTGACGATAGAGTTCAACTCACGGAGCTGAACATTGCTTTGGATGGAGCAGTTTCCAAACACACTTTGTGTAGAATCTGCAAGTGGAGATTCGGACCGCACTGAGGATTTCGTTGGATATGGGAGAGAACTCACCTATGTAAACGGAAGCATTCTCAGAACCTTCTTCGTGATGCTTGCATTCAACTCACAGTGTTGAACCTTTCTCTGACAGTTCAGGTTTGAAACACTCCTTCTGCAGAATCTGCAAGTGGAGATTTGGACCTCCTTGAGGCCTATCGTAGTAAAGGAAAGAACTTCATCTAAAAACAAGACGGAAGCATTCTCAGAAAATTCTTTGCGATGATTGAGTTTAACTCACAGAGCTGAGCATATCTTTTGATGGCGCAATTTCCAAACACACCTTTTGTGGAATATGCCAGTGGATTTTGGGACTTCTCTGAGAATTTCGTTGGAAACGGGATAAACCTCACATAACTGAAGAGGAACATTCTCAGAACTTCTTTGTGATGTTGACATTCAACTGACAGAGGTGAACCTTCCCTTGTGAGTTCAGGTTGAAACGCTCTTTTCGTAGCATCTGCAAGTGGAGATTTGGAACGCTTTGAGGCCTACGGTAGTAAAGGAAACAGCTTCATGTAAAAACTGGACAGAAGCATTCTCAGAAACTACTTTGGGATGATTGAGTTCAACTCACAGAGCTGAACATTCCTTTGGGTGGAGCAGTTTTGAAACACACTTTTTGTAGACTCTGCAGGTGGATATTTGGACCTCTCTGAGGATTTCGTTGGAAACGGGATAACGTCGCCTAACTAAACAGAAGCTTTCGCAGAAACATCTTTCCGACGTTGGCATTCAAACTCCAGAGTTGAGCCTTCCTTTGGTAGTTCACGTTTGAAACACTCTTTTTGGAGGACCTGCAAGTGGATATTTGGAGCACTTTGTGGCCTTCGTTCGAAAAGGCTATATCTTCACATAAAATCTAGACAGAAGCCTTCTCAGAATCTTCTCTGTGATGATTGCCCGCAACTCACAGAGTTGAACATTCCTTTTGATAGAGCAGTTTTGAAACTCTCTAGTTTTCCTGGCATCTGCAAATGGATAGGTGGAACTCTGTGAAGACTTCTTTGGAAACGGGAATATCCTCACGTAAAAAGTAAACAGAAGCATTCTCAGAAACTCCTTTGTGAGGCTTGTGTTCAACTCCCAGAGTATAACATTGCTTTTCATAGAGCAGTTTTGAAACATTCTTTTCGTAGAGCGTCCAGGTGGACATTTGGAACGCTTTCAGGCCTGTGTTGGAAAAGGAAATATCTTCACATAAAAACTAGAGAGAAGCATTGTCAGAAACCTCTTGGTGATGATTGCATTCAACTCACGGAGCTGAGGATTCCTTTTGATGCAGCAGTTTGGAAACACTCTTTCGGTGGAATCTGCAAGCGGATATGTGGACCTCTTTGAACATTTCGATGGAAAAGGGATAATCTTCCCGTAAAAGCTAAACGGAAGCATGCTCAGGAACTTGTTTGTGATGTTTGCATTCAACTCACAGAGTTGTACTTTCCTTTTGATAGAGCAGCTTTGAAACCCTCTCTTTCTAGCATCTGCAAGGGGACATTTGGAGGGCTTCGAGGCCTGGGGTGGAAAAGGAAATATCTTCTCATCAAAGCTACATGGAAGCATTCTCAGAAGCTGCTTTGTGATGATTGCATTCAAGTCACCGAGGTCAACATTCCCTTTGATGGAGCCGTTTGGAAACACACTTTTGGTAGAAACTGAAAGGGGAGATTTGGACCGTTTTGGGGCCTATTGCAGTAGAGGATATAACTGCACATAAAAACGAGACAGGAGCATTCCCAGGAAACACTTTGTGACGATTGAGTTCAATTCACAGAGCTGAACATTCCTTTGGATGGAGCAGTTTCCAAACACACTTTGTGTAGAATCTGCAAGTGGAGATTTGGACCGCTCTGAGGATTTCGTTGGATACGGGAGAAAACTCACCTATGTAAACAGAAGCATTCTCAGAACCTTCTTCGTGATGCTTGCATTCAACTCACAGTGTTGAACCTTTCTCTGATAGTTCAGGTTTGAAACACTCCTTCTGCAGAATCTGCAAGTGGAGATTTGGACCTCTTTGAGGCCTATCGTAGTAAACGAAAGAACTTCATCTAAAAACAAGACAGAAGCATTCTCAGAACCTTCTTCGTGATGCTTGCATTCAACTCACAGTGTTCAACCTTTCTCTGATAGTTCAGGTTTTAAACACTCCTTCTGCAGAATCTGCAAGTGGAGATTTGGACCTCTTTGAGGCCTATCGTAGTAAAGGATATAACCTCATCTAAAAACAAGACAGAAGCATTCTCAGAAAATTCGTTGTGATGATTGAGTTTAACACACAGAGCTGAGCATATCTTTTGATGGAGCATTTTGAAAACACACCTTTTGTAGAATATGCAAGTGGATTTTGGGACTTCTCTGAGAATTTCGTTGGAAACGGGATAAACCTCACATAACTGAAGAGGAACATTCTCAGAAATTCTTGGTGATGTTGGCATTCAACTGACAGAGTTGAACCTTCCCTTGTGAGTTCAGGTTGAAACGCTCTTTTCGTAGTATCTGCAAGTGGAGGTTTGGGACGCTTTGAAGCCTACGGTAGTAAAGGAAACAGCTTCATGTAAAAACTGGACAGAAGCATTCTCAGAAAATACTTTGGGATGATTGAGTTCAACTCACAGAGCTGAACATTCCTTTGGGTGGAGCAGTTTTGAAACACACTTTTTGTAGACTCTGCAGGTGGATATTTGGACCTCTCTGAGGATTTCGTTGCAAACGGGATAACGTCACCGAACTAAACAGAAGCTTTCGCAGAAACATCTTTCCGACGTTGGCATTCAAACTCCAGAGTTGAGCCTTCCTTTGGTAGTTCACGTTTGAAACACTCTTTCTGGAGGACCTGCAAGTGGATATTTGGAGCACTTTGTGGCCTTCGTTCGAAAAGGCTATATCTTCACATAAAATCTAGACAGAAGCCTTCTCAGAAACTTCTCTGTGATGATTGCATGCAACTCACAGAGTTGAACATTCCTTTTGATAGAGCAGTTTTGAAACTCTCTTTTGCTAGCATCTGCAAATGGATAGGTGGAATTCTGTGAAGACTTCTTTGGAAACGGGAATATCCTCACGTAAAAAGTAAACAGAAGAATTCTCAGAAACTCCTTTGTGAGGCTTGTGTTCAACTCCCAGAGTATAACATTGCTTTTCATGGAGCAGTTTTGAAACATTCTTTTCGTAGAGCCTCCAAGTGGACATTTGGAGCCCTTTCAGGCCTGTGGTGGATAAGGAAATATCTTCACATAAAAACTAGAGAGAAGCATTCTCAGAATCTTCTTGGTGATGATTGCATTCAACTCACGGAGCTGAGGATTCCTTTTGATGCAGCAGTATGGAAACACTCTTTCGGTGGAAGCTGCAAGCGGATATGTGGACCTCTTTGAACATTCCGATGGAAAAGGGATAATCTTCCCGTAAAAGCTAAACGGAAGCATGCTCAGGAACTTCCTTGTGATGTTTCCATTCAACTCACAGAGTTGTACTTTCCTTTTGATAGAGCAGCTTTGAAACCCCCTCTTTCTAGCATCTGCAAGGGGACATTTGGAGGGCTTCGAGGCCTGGGGTGGAAAAGGAAATATCTTCTCATCAAAGCTACATGGAAGCATTCTCAGAAGCTGCTTTGTGAAGATTGCATTCAAGTCACCGAGTTGAACATCCCCTTTGATGGGGCCGTTTGGAAACACACTTTTGGTAGAATCTGAAAGGGGAGATTTGGACCGCTTTGAGGCCTATGGCAGCAGAGGATTTAACTGCACATAAAAGCGAGACAGGAGCATTCCCAGGAAACGCTTTGTGACGATTGAGTTCAACTCACAGAGCTGAACATTCCTTTGGGTGGAGCAGTTTCCAAACACACCTTGTGTAGAATCTGCAAGTGGAGATTTGGACCGCTCTGAGGGTTTCGTTGGATACGGGAGAAAAGTCACATACGTAAACAGAAGCATTCTCAGAACCTTCTTCGTGATGCTTGCATTCAACTCACAGTGTTGAACCTTTCTCTGACAGTTCAGGTTTGAAACACTCCTTCTGTAGAATCTGCAAGTGGAGATTTGGACCTCTTTGAGGCCTATCGTAGTAAAGGAAAGAACTTCATCTAAAAACAAGACGGAAGCATTCTCAGAAAATTCTTTGCAATGATTGAGTTTAACTCACAGAGCTGAGCATATCTTTTGATGGCACAATTTCCAAACACACCTTTTGTGGAATATGCAAGTGGATTTTGGGACTTCTCTGAGAATTTCGTTGGAAACGGGATAAACCTCACATAACTGAAGAGGAACATTCTCAGAAGTTCTTGGTGATGTTGACATTCAACTGACAGAGTTGAACCCTCCCTTGTGAGTTCAGGTTGAAACGCTCTTTTCGTAGTATCTGCAAGTGGAGGTTTGGAATGCTTTGAGGCCTACGGTAGTAAAGGAAACAGCTTCATGTAAAAACTGGACAGAAGCATTCTCAGAAAATACTTTGGGATGATTGAGTTGAACTCACAGAGCTGAACATTCCTTTGGGTGGAGCAGTTTTGAAACACACTTTTTGTAGACTCTGCAGGTGGATATTTGGACCTCTCTGAGGATTTCGTTGGAAACGGGATAACGTCACCTAACTAAACAGAAGCTTTCGCAGAAACATCCTTCTGACGTTGGCATTCAAAGTCCAGATTTGAGCCTTCCTTTGGTAGTTCACCTTTGAAACACTCTTTTTGGAGGACCTGCAAGTGGATATTGGGAGCGCTTTGTGGCCTTCGTTCGAAACGGCCATATCTTCACATAAAATCTAGACAGAAGCCTTCTCAGAAACTTCTCTGTGATGATTGCATGCAACTCACAGAGTTGAACATTCCTTTTGATGGAGCAGTTTTGAAACTCTCTTTTGCTAGCATCTGCAAATGGATAGGTGGAACTCTGTGAAGACTTCTTTGGAAACGGGAATATCCTCACGTAAAAAGTAAACAGAAGCATTCTCAGAAACTCCTTTGTGAGGCTTGTGTTCAACTCCCAGAGTATAACATTGCTTTTCATAGAGCAGTTTTGAAACATTCTTTTCGTAGAGCCTCCAAGTGGACATTTGGAGCGCTTTCAGGCCTGCGGTGGAAAAGGAAATATCTTCACATAAAAACTAGAGAGAAGCATTGTCAGAAACTTCTTGGTGATGATTGCATTCAACTCACGGAGCTGAGGATTCCTTTGGATGCAGCAGTTTGGAAACACTCTTTCGGTGGAATCTGCAAGCGGATATGTGGACCTCTTTGAACATTTCGATGGAAAAGGGATAATCTTCCCGTAAAAGCTAAACGGAAGCATGCTCAGGAACTTCCTTGTGATGTTTGCATTCAACTCACAGAGTTGTACTTTCCTTTTGATAGAGCAGCTTTGAAACCCCCTCTTTCTAGCATCTGCAAGGGGACATTTGGAGGGCTTCGAGGCCTGGGGTGGAAAAGGAAATATCTTCTCATCAAAGCTACATGGAAGCATTCTCAGAAGCTGCTTTGTGATGATTGCATTCAAGTCACCGAGTTGAACATCCCCTTTGATGGGGCCGTTTGGAAACACACTTTTGGTAGAATCTGAAAGGGGAGATTTGGACCGCTTTGAGGCCTATGGCAGTAGAGGATATAACTGCACATAAAAGCGAGACAGGAGCATTCCCTGGAAACGCTTTGTGACGATTGAGTTCAACTCACAGAGCTGAACATTCCTTTGGGTGGAGCAGTTTCCAAACACACTTTGTGTAGAATCTGCAAGTGCAGATTTGGACCGCTCTGAGGATTTCGTTGGATAAGGGAGAAAAGTCACCTACGTAAACAGAAGCATTCTCAGAACCTTCTTCGTGATGCTTGCATTCAACTCACAGTGTTGAACCTTTCTCTGAGAGTTCAGGTTTGAAACACTCCTTCTGCAGAATCTGCAACTGGAGATTTGGACCTCCTTGAGGCCTATCGTAGTAAAGGAAAGAACTTCATCTAAAAACAAGATGGAAGCATTCTCAGAAAATTCTTTGCGATGATTGAGTTTAACTCACAGAGCTGAGCAGGTCTTTTGATGGAGCATTTTCAAAACACACGTTTTGTAGAATATGCAAGTGGATATTGGGACTTCTCTGAGAATTTCGTTGGAAACGGGATAAACCTCACATAACTGAAGAGGAACATTCTCAGAACTTCTTTGTGATGTTGACATTCAACTGACAGAGGTGAACCTTCCCTTGTGAGTTCAGGTTGAAACGCTCCTTTCGTAGCATCTGCAAGTGGAGATTTGGAACGCTTTGAGGCCTACGGTAGTAAAGGAAACAGCTTCATGTAAAAACTGGACAGAAGCATTCTCAGAAAATACTTTGGGATGATTGAGTTCAACTCACAGAGCTGAACATTCCTTTGGGTGGAGCAGTTTTGAAACACACTTTTTGTAGACTCTGCAGGTGGATATTTGGACCTCTCTGAGGATTTCGTTGGAAACGGGATAACGTCGCCTAACTAAACAGAAGCTTTCGCAGAAACATCCTTCTGACGTTGGCATTCAAAGTCCAGAGTTGAGCCTTCCTTTGGTAGTTCACGTTTGAAACACTCTTTTTGGAGGACCTGCAAGTGGATATTTGGAGCACTTTGTGGCCTTCGTTCGAAACGGCTATATCTTCACATAAAATCTAGACAGAAGCCTTCTCAGAAACTTCTCTGTGATGATTGCATGCAACTCACAGAGTTGAACATTCCTTTTGATAGAGCAGTTTTGAAACTCTCTTTTGCTAGCATCTGCAAATGGATAGGTGGAACTCTGTGGAGACTTCTTTGGAAACGGGAATATCCTCACGTAAAAAGTAAACAGAAGCATTCTCAGAAACTCCGTTGTGAGGCTTGTGTTCAACTCCCAGAGTATAACATTGCTTTTCATGGAGCAGTTTTGAAACATTCTTTTCGTAGAGCCTCCATGTGGACATTTGGAGCCCTTTCAGGCCTGTGGTGGATAAGGAAATATCTTCACATAAAAACTAGAGAGAAGCATTGTCAGAAACTTCTTGGTGATGATTGCATTCAACTCACGGAGCTGAGGATTCCTTTTGATGCAGCAGTTTGGAAACACTCTTTCGGTGGAATCTGCAAGCGGATACGTGGACCTCTTTGAACATTCCGATGGAAAAGGGATAATCTTCCCATAAAAGCTAAACGGAAGCATGCTCAGGAACTTCCTTGTGATGTTTGCATTCAACTCACAGAGTTGTACTTTCCGTTTGATAGAGCAGCTTTGAAACCCCCTCTTTCTAGCATCGGCAAGGGGACATTTGGAGGGCTTCGAGGCCTGGGGTGGAAAAGGAAATATCTTCTCATCAAAGCTACATGGAAGCATTCTCAGAAACTGCTGTGTGATGATTGCTTTCAAGTCACCGAGTTGAACATTCCCTTTGATGGAGCCGTTTGGAAACACACTTTTGGTAGAATCTGAAAGGGGAGATTTGGACCGCTTTGAGGCCTATGGCAGTAGAGGATATAACTGCACATAAAAACGAGACAGTAGCATTCCCAGGAAACACTTTGTGACGATTGAGTTCAACTCACGGAGCTGAACATTCCTTTGGATGGAGCAGTTTCCAAACACACTTTGTGTAGTATCTGCAAGTGGAGATTCGGACCGCTCTGAGGATTTCGTTGGATACGGGAGAGAACTCACCTACGTAAACGGAAGCATTCTCAGAACCTTCTTCGTGATGCTTGCCTTCAAATCACAGTATTGAACCTTTCTCTGACAGTTCAGGTTTGAAACACTCCTTCTGCGGAATCTGCAAGTGGAGATTTGGACCTCTTTGAGGCCTGTCGTAGTAAAGGAAAGAACTTCATCTAAAAACAAGACAGAAGCATTCTCAGAAAATTCTTTGCGATGATTGAGTTTAACTCACAGAGCTCAGCAGGTCTTTTGATGGAGCATTTTCAAAACACACGTTTTGTAGTATATGCAAGTGGATATTGGGACTTCTCCGAGAATTTCGTTGGAAACGGGATAAACCTCACATAACTGAAGAGGAACATTCTCAGAAGTTCTTGGTGATGTTGGCATTCAACTGACAGAGTTGAACCTTCCCTTGTGAGTTCAGGTTGAAACGCTCTTTTCGTAGTATCTGCAAGTGGAGGTTTGGAACGCTTTGAGGCCTACGGTAGTAAAGGAAACAGCTTCATGTAAAAACTGGACAGAAGCATTCTCAGAAAATACTTTGGGATGATTGAGTTCAACTCACAGAGCTGAACATTCCTTTGGGTGGAGCAGTTTTGAAACACACTTTTTGTAGACTCTGCAGGTGGATATTTGGACCTCTCTGAGGATTTCGTTGGAGACGGGATAACGTCACCTAACTAAACAGAAGCTTTCGCAGAAACATCTTTCTGACGTTGGCATTCAAAGTCCAGAGTTGAGCCTTCCTTTGGTAGTTCACGTTTGAAACACTCTTTTCGGAGGACCTGCAAGTGGATATTTGGAGCACTTTGTGGCCTTCGTTCGAAACGGCTATATCTTCACGTAAAATCTAGACAGAAGCCTTCTCAGAAACTTCTCTGTGATGATTGCATGCAACTCACAGAGTTAAACATTCCTTTTGATGGAGCAGTTTTGAAACTCTCTTTTGCTAGCATCTGCAAATGTATAGGTGGAACTCTGTGAAGACTTCTTTGGAAACGGGAATATCCTCACGTAAAAAGTAAACAGAAGCATTCTCAGAAACTCCTTTGTGAGGCTTGTGTTCAACTCCCAGAGTATAACATTGCTTTTCATAGAGCAGTTTTGAAACATTCTTTTCGTAGAGCCTCCAAGTGGACATTTGGAGCGCTTTCAGGCCTGCGGTGGAAAAGGAAATATCTTCACATAAAAACTAGAGAGAAGCATTGTCAGAAACTTCTTGGTGATGATTGCATTCAACTCACGGAGCTGAGGATTCCTTTTGATGCAGCAGTTTGGAAACACTCTTTCGGTGGAATCTGCAAGCGGATATGTGGACCTCTTTGACCATTTCGATGGAAAAGGGATAATCTTCCCCTAAAAGCTAAACGGAAGCATGCTCAGGAATTTCCTTGTGATGTTTGCATTCAACTCACAGAGTTGTACTTTCCTTTTGATAGAGCAGCTTTGAAACCCCCTCTTTCTAGCATCTGCAAGGGGACATTTGGAGGGCTTCGAGGCCTGGGGTGGAAAAGGAAATATCTTCTCATCAAAGCTACATGGAAGCATTCTCTGAAGCTGCTTTGTGATGATTGCATTGAAGTCACAGAGTTGAACATTCCCTTTGATGGAGCCGTTTGGAAACACACTTTTGGTAGAATCTGAAAGGGGAGATTTGGACCGCTTTGAGGCCTATGGCAGTAGAGGATATAACTGCACATAAAAGCGAGACAGGAGCATTCCCAGGAAACGCTTTGTGACCATTGAGTTCAACTCACAGACGTGAACATTCCTTTGGGTGGAGCAGTTTCCAAACACACCTTGTGTAGAATCTGCAAGTGGAGATTTGGACCGCTCTGAGGATTTCGTTGGATACGGGAGAAAAGTCACCTACGTAAACAGAAGCATTCTCAGAACCTTCTTCGTGATGCTTGCATTCAACTCACAGTGTAGAACCTTTCTCTGACTGTTCAGGTTTGAAACACTCCTTGTGCAGAATCTGCAAGTGGAGATTTGGACCTCTTTGAGGACTATCGTAGTAAAGGAAAGAACTTCATCTAAAAACAAGACAGAAGCATTCTCAGAAAATTCTTTGCGATGATTGAGTTTAACTCACAGAGCTGAGCATATCTTTTGATGGCGCGTTTTCAAAACACACCTTTTGTAGAATATGCAAGTGGATTTTGGGACTTCTCTGAGAAATTCGTTGGAAACGGGATAAACCTCACATAACTGAAGAGGAACATTCTCAGAATTTCTTGGTGATGTTGGCATTCAACTGACAGAGTTGAACCTTCCCTTGTGAGTTCAGGTTGAAACGCTCTTTTCGTAGTATCTGCAAGTGGAGGTTTGGAATGCTTTGAGGCCTACGGTAGTAAAGGAAACAGCTTCATGTAAAAACTGGACAGAAGCATTCTCAGAAAATACTTTGGGATGATTGAGTTCAACTCACAGAGCTGAACATTCCTTTGGGTGGAGCAGTTTTGAAACACACTTTTTGTAGACTCTGCAGGTGGATATTTGGAACTCTCTGAGGATTTCGTTGGAAACGGGATAACGTCACCTAACTAAACAGAAGCTTTCGCAGAAACATCCTTCTGACGTTGGCATTCAAAGTCCAGAGTTGAGCCTTCCTTTGGTAGTTCACGTTTGAAACACTCTTTTTGGAGGACCTGCAAGTGGATATTGGGAGCACTTTGTGGCCTTCGTTCGAAACGGCCATATCTTCACATAAAATCTAGACAGAAGCCTTCTCAGAAACTTCTCTGTGATGATTGCATGCAACTCACAGAGTTGAACATTCCTTTTGATGGAGCAGTTTTGAAACTCTCTTTTGCTAGCATCTGCAAATGGGTAGGTGGAACTCTTTGAAGACTTCTTTGGAAACGGGAATATCCTCACGTAAAAAGTAAACAGAAGCATTCTCAGAAACTCCTTTGTGAGGCTTGTGTTCAACTCCCAGAGTATAACATTGCTTTTCATAGAGCAGTTTTGAAACATTCTTTTCGTAGAGCCTCCAAGTGGACATTTGGAGCGCTTTCAGGCCTGCGGTGGAAAAGGAAATATCTTCACATAAAAACTAGAGAGAAGCATTGTCAGAAACTTCTTGGTGATGATTGCATTCAACTCACGGAGCTGAGGATTCCTTTGGATGCAGCAGTTTGGAAACACTCTTTCGGTGGAATCTGCAAGCGGATATGTGGACCTCTTTGAACATTTCGATGGAAAAGGGATAATCTTCCCGTAAAAGCTAAACGGAAGCATGCTCAGGAACTTCCTTGTGATGTTTGCATTCAACTCACAGAGTTGTACTTTCCTTTTGATAGAGCAGCTTTGAAACCCCCTCTTTCTAGCATCTGCAAGGGGACATTTGGAGGGCTTCGAGGCCTGGGGTGGAAAAGGAAATATCTTCTCATCAAAGCTACATGGAAGCATTCTCAGAAGCTGCTTTGTGATGATTGCATTCAAGTCACCGAGTTGAACATCCCCTTTGATGGGGCCGTTTGGAAACACACTTTTGGTAGAATCTGAAAGGGGAGATTTGGACCGCTTTGAGGCCTATGGCAGTAGAGGATATAACTGCACATAAAAGCGAGACAGGAGCATTCCCAGGAAACGCTTTGTGACGATTGAGTTCAACTCACAGAGCTGAACATTCCTTTGGGTGAAGCAGTTTCCAAACACACTTTGTGTAGAATCTGCAAGTGGAGATTTGGACCGCTCTGAGGATTTCGTTGGATACGGGAGAAAAGTCACCTACGTAAACAGAAGCATTCTCAGAACCTTCTTCGTGATGCGTGCATTCAACTCACAGTGTTGAACCTTTCTCTGACAGTTCAGGTTTGAAACACTCCTTCTGCAGAATCTGCAAGTGGACATTTGGACCTCCTTGAGGCCTATCGTAGTAAAGGAAAGAACTTCATCTAAAAACAAGACGGAAGCATTCTCAGAAAATACTTTGCGATGATTGAGTTTAACTCACAGAGCTGAGCATATCTTTTGATGGCGCATTTTCAAAACACACCTTTTGTGGAATATGCAAGTGGATTTTGGGACTTCTCTGAGAATTTCGTTGGAAAGGGGATAAACCTCACGTAACTGAAGAGGAACATTCTCAGAAGTTCTTCTTGATGTTGGCATTCAACTGGCAGAGTTGAACCTTCCCTTGTGAGTTCATGTTGAAACGCTCTTTTCGTAGTATCTGCAAGTGGAGGTTTGGAACGCTTTGAGGCCTACGGTAGTAAAGGAAACAGCTTCATGTAAAAACTGGACAGAAGCCTTCTCAGAAAATACTTTGGGATGATTGAGTTCAACTCACAGAGCTGAACCTTCCTTTGGGTGGAGCAGTTTTGAAACACACTTTTTGTAGACTCTGCAGGTGGATATTTGGACCTCTCTGAGGATTTCGTTGGAAACGGGATAACGTCACCTAACTAAACAGAAGCTTCCGCAGAAACATCCTTCTGACGTTGGTCTTCAAAGTCCCGAGTTGAGCCTTCCTTTGGTAGTTCACGTTTGAAACACTCTTTTTGGAGGACCTGCAAGTGGATATTTGGAGCACTTTGTGGCCTTCGTTCGAAACGGCTATATCTTCACATACAATCTAGACAGAAGCCTTCTCAGAAACTTCTCTGTGATGATTGCACGCAACTCACAGAGTTGAACATTCCTTTTGATAGAGCAGTTTTGAAACTCTCTAGTTTTGCTGGCATCTGCAAATGGATAGGTGTAACTCTGTGAAGACTTCTTTGGAGACGGGAATATCCTCACGTAAAAAGTAAACAGAAGCATTCTCAGAAACTCCTTTGTGAGGCTTGTGTTCAACTCCCAGAGTATAACATTGCTTTTCATAGGGCAGTTTTGAAACATTCTTTTCGTAGAGCCTCCAAGTGAACATTTGGAGCGCTTTCAGGCCTGCGGTGGAAAAGGAAATATCTTCACATAAAAACTAGAGAGAAACATTGTCAGAAACTTCTTGGTGATGATTGCATTCAACTCACGGAGCTGAGGATTCCTTTGGATGCAGCAGTTTGGAAACACTCTTTCGGTGGAATCTGCAAGCGGATATGTGGACCTCTTTGAACATTTCGATGGAAAAGGGATAATCTTCCCGTAAAAGCTAAACGGAAGCATGCTCAGGAACTTCCTTGTGATGTTTGCATTCAACTCACAGAGTTGTACTTTCCTTTTGATAGAGCAGCTTTGAAACCCCCTCTTTCTAGCATCTGCAAGGGGACATTTGGAGGGCTTCGAGGCCTGGGGTGGAAAAGGAAATATCTTCTCATCAAAGCTACATGGAAGCATTCTCAGAAGCTGCTTTGTGATGATTGCATTCAAGTCACCGAGTTGAACATCCCCTTTGATGGGGCCGTTTGGAAACACACTTTTGGTAGAATCTGAAAGGGGAGATTTGGACCGCTTTGAGGCCTATGGCAGTAGAGGATATAACTGCACATAAAAGCGAGACAGGAGCATTCCCAGGAAACGCTTTGTGACGATTGAGTTCAACTCACAGAGCTGAACATTCCTTTGGGTGGAGCAGTTTCCAAACACACTTTGTGTAGAATCTTCAAGTGGAGATTTGGACCGCTCTGAGGATTTCATTGGATACGGGAGAAAAGTCACCTACGTAAACAGAAGCATTCTCAGAACCTTCTTCGTGATGCTTGCATTCAACTCACAGTGTTGAACCTTTCTCTGACAGTTCAGGTTTGAAACACTCCTTCTGCAAAATCTGCTAGTGGAGATTTGGACCTCTTTGAGGCCTATCGTAGTAAAGGAAAGAACTTCATCTAAAAACAAGACGGAAGCATTCTCAGAAAATTCTTTGCGATGATTGAGTTTAACTCACAGAGCTGAGCATATCTTTTGATGGCGCATTTTCAAAACACACCTTTTGTGGAATATGCAAGTGGATTTTGGGACTTCTCTGAGAATTTCGTTGGAAACGGGATAAACCTCACGTAACTGAAGAGGAACATTCTCAGAAGTTCTTGGTGATGTTGGCATTCAACTGGCAGAGTTGAACCTTCCCTTGTGAGTTCAGGTTGAAACTCTCTTTTCGTAGTATCTGCAATTGGAAGTTTGGAACGATTTGAGGCCTACGGTAGTAAAGGAAAAAGCTTCATGTAAAAACTGGACAGAAGCATTCTCAGAAAATACTTTGGGATGATTGAGTTCAACTCACAGAGCTGAACATTCCTTTGGGTGGAGCAGTTTTGAAACACACTTTTTGTAGACTCTGCAGGTGGATATTTGGACCTCTCTGAGGATTTCGTTGGAAACGGGATAACGTCACCTAACTAAACAGAAGCTTTTGCAGAAACATCCTTCTGACGTTGGCCTTCAAAGTCCAGAGTTGAGCCTTCCTTTGGTAGTTCACGTTTGAAACACTCTTTTTGGAGGACCTGCAAGTGGATATTTGGAGCACTTTGTGGCCTTCGTTCGAAACGGCTATATCTTTACATAAAATCTAGACAGAAGCCTTCTCAGAAACTTCTCTGTGATGATTGCATGCAACTCACAGAGTTGAACATTCCTTTTGATGGAGCAGTTTTGAAACTCTCTTTTGCTAGCATCTGCAAATGGATAGGTGGAACTCTGTGAAGACTTCTTTGGAAACGGGAATATCCTCACGTAAAAAGTAAACAGAAGCATTCTCAGAAACTCCTTTGTGAGGCTTGTGTTCAACTGCCAGAGTATAACATTGCTTTTCATAGAGCAGTTTTGAAACATTCTTTTCGTAGAGCCTCCAAGTGGACATTTGGAGCGCTTTCAGGCCTGCGGTGGAAAAGGAAATATCTTCACATAAAAGCTAGAGAGAAGCATTGTCAGAAACTTCTTGGTGATGATTGCCTTCAACTCACGGAGCTGAGGATTCGTTTGGATGCAGCAGTTTGGAAACACCCTTTCGGTGGAATCTGCAAGCGGATATGTGGACCTCTTTGAACATTTCGATGGAAAAGGGATAATCTTCCCGTAAAAACTAAACGGAGGCATGCTCAGGAACTTCCTTGTGATGTTTGCATTCAACTCACAGCGTTGTACTTTCCTTTTGATAGAGCAGCTTTGAAACCCCCTCTTTCTAGCATCTGCAAGGGGACATTTGGAGGGCTTCGAGGCCTGGGGTGGAAAAGGAAATATCTTCTCATCAAAGCTACATGGAAGCATTCTCAGAAGCTGCTTTGGAATGATTGCATTCAAGTCAGCGAGTTGAACATTCCCTTTGATGGAGCCGTTTGGAAACACACTTTTGGTAGGATCTGAAAGGGGAGATTTGGACTGCTTTGTGGCCTATGGCAGTAGAGGATATAACTGCACATAAAAACGAGACAGGAGCATTCTCAGGAAACGCTTTGTGACGATTGAGTTCAACTCACGGAGCTGAATATTCCTTTGGATGGAGCAGTTTCCAAACACACTTTGTGTAGAATCTGCAAGTGGAGATTTGGACCGCTCTGAGGATTTCGTTGGATACGGGAGAAAAGCCACATACGTAAACAGAAGCATTCTCAGAAACTTCTTTGTGATGCTTGCATTCATCTCACAGTGTTGAACCTTTCTCTCATAGTTCAGGTTTGAAACACTCCTTCTGCAGAATCTGCAAGTGGAGATTTGGACCTCTTTGAGGCCTATCGTAGTAAAGGAAAGAACTTCATCTAAAAACAAGACAGAAGCATTCTCAGAAAATTCTTTGTGATGATTGTGCTTAACTCACAGAGCGGAGCATATCTTTTGATGGCGCATTTTCAGAACACACCTTTTGTAGAATATGCAAGTGGATTTTGGGAATTCTCTGAGAATTTCGTTGGAAACCGGATAAACATCACATAACTGAAGAGGAACATTCTCAGAACTTCTTGGTGATGTTGGCATTCAACTGACAGAGTTGAACCTTCCCTTGTTAGTTCAGGTTGAAACGCTCTTTTCGTACTATCTCCAAGTGGAGATTTGGAACGCTTTGAGGCATACGGTAGTAAAGGAAACAGCTTCATGTAAAAACTGGACAGAAGCATTCTCAGAAAATACTTTGGGATGATTGAGTTCAACTCACAGAGCTGAACATTCCTTTGGGTGGAGCAGTTTTGAAACACACTTTTTGTAGACTCTGCAGGTGGATATTTGGACCTCTCTGAGGATTTCGTTGGAAACGGGATAACGTCACCTAACAAAACAGAAGCTTTCGCAGAAACATCCTTCTGACGTTGGCATTCAAAGTCCAGAGTTGAGCCTTCCTTTGGTAGTTTACGTTTGAAACACTCTTTTTGGAGGACCTGCAAGTGGATATTGGGAGCACTTTGTGGCCTTCGTTCGAAACGGCCATATCTTCACATCAAATCTAGACAGAAGCCTTCTCAGAAACTTCTCTGTGATGATTGCATGCAACTCACAGAGTTGAAGATTCCTTTTGATGGAGCAGTTTTGAAACTCTCTTTTGCTAGCATCTGCAAATGGATAGGTGGAACTCTGTGAAGACTTCTTTGGAAACGGGAATATCCTCACGTAAAAAGTAAACAGAAGCATTCTCAGAAACTCCTTTGTGAGGCTTGTGTTCAACTCCCAGAGTATAACATTGCTTTTCATAGAGCAGTTTTGAAACATTCTTTTCGTAGAGCCTCCAAGTGGACATTTGGAGCGCTTTCAGGCCTGTGTTGGAAAAGGAAATATCTTCACATAAAAACTAGAGAGAAACATTGTCAGAAACTTCTTGGTGATGATTGCATTCAACTCACGGAGCTGAGGATTCCTTTGGATGCAGCAGTTTGGAAACACTCTTTCGGTGGAATCTGCAAGCGGATATGTGGACCTCTTTGAACATTTTGATGGAAAAGGGATAATCTTCCCGTAAAAGCTAAACGGAAGCCTTCTCAGAAACTTCTCTGTGATGATTGCATGCAACTCACAGAGTTGAACATTCCTTTTGATAGAGCAGCTTTGAAACCCTCTCTTTCTAGCATCTGCAAGGGGACATTTGGAGGGCTTCGAGGCCTGGGGTGGAAAAGGAAATATCTTCTCATCAAAGCTACATGGAAGCATTCTCAGAAGCTGCTTTGGGATGATTGCATTCAAGTCACCGAGTTGAACATTCCCTTTGATGGAGCCGTTTGGAAACACACTTTTGGTAGGATCTGAAAGGGGAGATTTGGACCGCTTTGAGGCCTATGGCAGTAGAGGATATAACTGCACATAAAAGCGACACAGGAGCATTCCCAGGAAACGCTTTGTGACGATTGAGTTCAACTCACAGAGCTGAACATTCCTTTGGGTGGAGCAGTTTCCAAACACACTTTGTGTAGAATCTGCAAGTGGAGATTTGGACCGCTCTGAGGATTTCGTTGGATAGGGAGAAAAGTCACCTACGTAAACAGAAGCATTCTCAGAACCTTCTTCGTGATGCTTGCCTTCAAATCACAGTATTGAACCTTTCTCTGACAGTTCAGGTTTGAAACACTCCTTCTGCAGAATCTGCAAGTGGAGATTTGGACCTCTTTGAGGCCTGTCGTAGTAAAGGAAAGAACTTCATCTAAAAACAAGACAGAAGCATTCTCAGAAAATTCTTTGCGATGATTGAGTTTAACTCACAGAGCTGAGCATATCTTTTGATGGCGCATTTTCCAAACACACCTTTTGTGGAATATGCAAGTGGATTTTGGGACTTCTCTGAGAATTTCGTTGGAAACGGGATAAACCTCACGTAACTGAAGAGGAACATTCTCAGAAGTTCTTGGTGATGTTGGCATTCAACTGACAGAGTTGAACCTTCCCTTTTGAGTTCAGGTTGAAACGCTCTTTTCGTAGTATCTGCAAGTGGAGGTTTGGAACGCTTTCAGGCCTGCGGTAGTAAAGGAAACAGCTTCATGTAAAAAGTGGACAGAAGCATTCTCACAAAATACTTTGGGACGATTGAGTTCAACTCACAGAGCTGAACATTCCTTTGGGTGGAGCAGTTTGGAAACACACTTTTTGTAGACTCCGCAGGTGGATATTTGGACCTCTCTGAGGATTTCGTTGGAAACGGGATAACGTCACCTAACTAAACAGAAGTTTTCGCAGAAACATCCTTCTGACGTTGGCATTCAAAGTCCAGAGTTGAGCCTTCCTTTGGTAGTTCACGTTTGAAACACTCTTTTTGGAGGACCTGCAAGTGGATATTGGGAGCACTTTGTGGCCTTCGTTCGAAACGGCCATATCTTCACATAAAATCTAGACAGAAGCCTTCTCAGAAACTTCTCTGTGATGATTGCACGCAACTGACAGAGGTGAACATTCCTTTTGATAGAGCAGTTTTGAAACTCTCTAGTTTTGCTGGCATCTGCAAATGGATAGGTGGAACTCTGTGAAGACTTCTTTGGAAACGGGAATATCCCCACGTAAAAAGTAAACAGAAGCATTCTCAGAAACTCCTTTGTGAGGCTTGTGTTCAACTCCCAGAGTATAACATTGCTTTTCATAGAGCAGTTTTGAAACATTCTTTTCGTAGAGCCTCCAAGTGGACATTTGGAGCGCTTTCAGGCCTGCGGTGGAAAAGGAAATATCTTCACATAAAAACTAGAGAGAAGCATTGTCAGAAACTTCTTGGTGATGATTGCATTCAACTCACGGTAGCTGAGGATTCCTTTTGATGCAGCAGTTTGGAAACACTCTTTCGGTGGAATCTGCAAGCGGATATGTGGACCTCTTTGACCATTTCGATGGAAAAGGGATAATCTTCCCATAAAAGCTAAACGGAAGCATGCTCAGGAACTTCCTTGTGATGTTTGCATTCAACTCACAGAGTTGTACTTTCCTTTTGATAGAGCAGCTTTGAAACCCCCTCTTTCTAGCATCTGCAAGGGGACATTTGGAGGGCTTCGAGGCCTGGGGTGGAAAAGGAAATATCTTCTCATCAAAGCTACATGGAAGCATTCTCAGAAGCTGCTTTGTGATGATTGCATTCAAGTCACCGGGTTGAACATCCCCTTTGATGGGGCCGTTTGGAAACACACTTTTGGTAGAATCTGGAAGGGGAGATTTGGACCGCTTTGAGGCCTATGGCAGTAGAGGTTATAACTGCACATAAAAGCGAGACAGGAGCATTCCCAGGAAACGCTTTGTGACGATTGAGTTCAACTCACAGAGCTGAACATTCCTTTGGGTGGAGCAGTTTCCAAAAACACTTTGTGTAGAATCTGCAAGTGGAGATTTGGACCGCTCTGAGGATTTCGTTGGATACGGGAGAAAAGTCACCTACGTAAACAGAAGCATTCTCAGAACCTTCTTCGTGATGCTTGCATTCAACTCACAGTGTTGAACCTTTCTCTGACAGTTCAGGTTTGAAACACTCCTTCTGCAGAATCTGCAAGTGGAGATTTGGACCTCCTTGAGGCCTATCATAGTAAAGGAAAGAACTTCATCTAAAAACAAGACGGAAGCATTCTCAGAAAATTCTTTGCGATGATTGAGTTTAACTCACAGAGCTGAGCATATCTTTTGATGGCGCATTTTCCAAACACACCTTTTGTGGAATATGCAAGTGGATTTTGGGACTTCTCTGAGAATTTCTTTGGAAACGGGATAAACCTCACGTAACTGAAGAGGAACATTCTCAGAAGTTCTTGGTGATGTTGGCATTCAACTGACAGAGTTGAACCTTCCCTTGTGAGTTCAGGTTGAAACGCTCTTTTCGTAGTATCTGCAAGTGGAGGTTTGGAACGCTTTGAGGCCTACGGTAGTAAAGGAAACAGCTTCATGTAAACACTGGACAGAAGCATTCTCAGAAAATACTTTGGGACGATTGAGTTCAACTCACAGAGCTGAACATTCCTTTGGGTGGAGCAGTTTTGAAACACACTTTTTGTAGACTCTGCAGGTGGATATTTGGACCTCTCTGAGGATTTCGTTGGAAACGGGATAACGTCACCTAACTAAACAGAAAAAAACAGCAGAAAAAAAAAAAATAAAAAAATCTAAATCAGTTTGTGTCATGCCTGTGCTCAACACCACCCAATGGCTTCTTATGTTGGAGTCTACTCATATTCCAAAAAAGCATAGTAATTATTCTTTTTGGGAAATTGCACCCCTGATGTATTCACAAATAATTAGAATAAAAACTACATTTTCTTATTTATCTCAGAGCTAGAGTTAGCCACAAGATTAAATTCTATTTAATGGAATGTAATCAGAAGTGTAAGCAGAAGTCCATTCAATGGAATGTAAGCAGAAGCACTAGAACATATATATGTATATTCTCGGTCCCTCCCTCTTTCTCTCTCTCTCCCTCTCTCCCTCTCCGTCTCTCTCTGTCTCTTTCCAGGAAAGATACAGATTGATTCGCTTTCATATAAAGACATCAAGATAAAGGCATCCTGTTGAAATTCATAAAATTATCAGGGACCAAAGCTCCTCTCTCTTTCTGTTCAATCATACTCAGACTAGGACTTCCGCCTCAGGAACTGAAATGCCTGAATGAGCTCCAGTCATCAACTCTCTATTTCAACAAACATAAAATGCAAACATCCCAAAGAAGTTTCTGCCAATGCTTC
>NC_000001.11:122103091-122109869 GCF_000001405.40 Homo sapiens
AGCATTCCCAGGAAACACTTTGTGACGCTTGAGTTCAACTCACAGAGTTGAACATTCCTTTTGATGGAGCAGTTTTGAAACTCTCTTTTGCTAGCATCTGCAAATGGATAGGTGGAACTCTGTGAAGACTTCTTTGGAAACGGGAATATCCTCACGTAAAAAGTAAACAGAAGCATTCTCAGAAACTCCTTTGTGAGGCTTGTGTTCAACTCCCAGAGTATAACATTGCTCTTCATAGAGCAGTTTTGAAACATTCTTTTCGTAGAGCCTCCAAGTGGACATTTGGAGCGCTTTCAGGCCTGCGGTGGAAAAGGAAATATCTTCACATAAAAACTAGAGAGAAGCATTCTCAGAATCTTCTTGGTGATGATTGCATTCAACTCACGGAGCTGAGGATTCCTTTTGGTGCAGCAGTATGGAAACACTCTTTCGGTGGAAGCTGCAAGCGGATATGTGGACCTCTTTGAACATTCCGATGGAAAAGGGATAATCTTCCCGTAAAAGCTAAACGGAAGCATGCTCAGGAACTTCTTTGTGATGTTTGCATTCAACTCGCAGTGTTGTACTTTCCTTTTGATAGAGCAGCTTTGAAACCCTCCCTTTCTAGCATCTGCAAGGGGACATTTGGAGGGCTTCGAGGCCTGGGGTGGAAAAGGAAATATCTTCTCATCAAAGATACATGGAAGCATTCTCAGAAACTGCTGTGTGATGATTGCTTTCAAGTCACCGAGTTGAACATTCCCTTTGATGGAGCCGTTTGGAAACACACTTTTGGTAGAATCTGAAAGGGGAGATTTGGACCGCTTTGAGGCCTATGGCAGTAGAGGATATAACTGCACATAAAAACGAGACAGTAGCATTCCCAGGAAACACTTTGTGACGATTGAGTTCAACTCACGGAGCTGAACATTCCTTTGGATGGAGCAGTTTCCAAACACACTTTGTGTAGTATCTGCAAGTGGAGATTCGGACCGCTCTGAGGATTTCGTTGGATACGGGAGAGAACTCACCTACGTAAACGGAAGCATTCTCAGAACCTTCTTCGTGATGCTTGCCTTCAACTCACAGTGTTGAACCTTTCTCTGACAGTTCAGGTTTGAAACACTCCTTCTGCAGAATCTGCAAGTGGAGATTTGGACCTCTTTGAGGCCTGTCGTAGTAAAGGAAAGAACTTCATCTAAAAACAAGACAGAAGCATTCTCAGAAAATTCTTTGCAATGATTGAGTTTAACTCACAGAGCTGAGCATATCTTTTGATGGCGCATTTTCCAAACACACCTTTTGTGGAATATGCAAGTGGATTTTGGGACTTCTCTGAGAATTTCGTTGGAAACGGGATAAACCTCACGTAACTGAAGAGGAACATTCTCAGAAGTTCTTGGTGATGTTGGCATTCAACTGACAGAGTTGGACCTTCCCTTGTGAGTTCAGGTTGAAACCCTCTTTTCGTAGTATCTGCAAGTGGAGGTTTGGAACGCTTTGAGGCCTACGGTAGTAAAGGAAACAGCTTCATGTAAAAACTGGACAGAAGCATTCTCAGAAAATACTTCGGGACGATTGAGTTCAACTCACAGAGCTGAACATTCCTTTGGGTGGAGCAGTTTTGAAACACACTTTTTGTAGACTCCACAGGTGGATATTTGGACCTCTCTGAGGATTTCGTTGCAAACGGGATAACGTCACCTAACTAAACAGAAGCTTTCGCAGAAACATCCTTCTGACGTTGGCCTTCAAAGTCCAGAGTTGAGCCTTCCTTTGGTAGTTCACGTTTGAAACACTCTTTTTGGAGGACCTGCAAGTGGATATTTGGAGCACTTTGTGGCCTTTGTTCGAAACGGCTATATCTTCACGTAAAATCTAGACAGAAGCCTTCTCAGAAACTTCTCTGTGATGATTGCCTGCAACTCACAGAGTTGAACATTCCTTTTGATGGAGCAGTTTTGAAACTCTCTTTTGCTAGCATCTGCAAATGGATAGGTGGAACTCTGTGAAGACTTCTTTGGAAACGGGAATATCCTCACGTAAAAAGTAAACAGAAGCATTCTCAGAAACTCCTTTGTGAGGCTTGTGTTCAACTCCCAGAGTATAACATTGCTTTTCATAGAGCAGTTTTGAAACATTCTTTTCGTAGAGCCTCCAAGTGGACATTTGGAGCGCTTTCAGGCCTGCGGTGGAAAAGGAAATATCTTCACATAAAAACTAGAGAGAAGCATTGTCAGAAACTTCTTGGTGATGATTGCATTCAACTCACGGAGCTGAGGATTCCTTTGGATGCAGCAGTTTGGAAACACTCTTTCGGTGGAATCTGCAAGCGGATATGTGGACCTCTTTGAACATTTCGATGGAAAAGGGATAATCTTCCCGTAAAAGCTAAACGGAAGCATGCTCAGGAACTTCTTTGTGATGTTTGCATTCAACTCGCAGTGTTGTACTTTCCTTTTGATAGAGCAGCTTTGAAACCCTCCCTTTCTAGCATCTGCAAGGGGACATTTGGAGGGCTTCGAGGCCTGGGGTGGAAAAGGAAATATCTTCTCATCAAAGATACATGGAAGCATTCTCAGAAACTGCTGTGTGATGATTGCTTTCAAGTCACCGAGTTGAACATTCCCTTTGATGGAGCCGTTTGGAAACACACTTTTGGTAGAATCTGAAAGGGGAGATTTGGACCGCTTTGAGGCCTATGGCAGTAGAGGATATAACTGCACATAAAAACGAGACAGTGAGCATTCCCAGGAAACACATTGTGATGCTTGAGTTCAACTCACAGAGCTGAACATTCCTTTGGATGGAGCAGTTTCCAAACACACTTTGTGTAGAATCTGCAAGTGGAGATTTGGACCGCTCTGAGGACTTCGTTGGATACGGGAGAGAAGTCACCTACACAAACAGAGCATTCTCAGAACCTTCTTCGTGATGCTTGCATTCAACTCACAGTGTTGAACCTTTCTCTGACATTTCAGGTTTGAAACACTCCTCCTGCAGAATCTGCAAGTGGAGATTTGGAACTCTTTGAGGCCTATCGTAGTAAAGGAAAGACCTTCATCTAAAAACAAGACAGAAGCATTCTCAGAAAATACTTTGCGATGATTGAGTTTAAGTCACAGAGCTGAGCATATCTTTTGATGGCGCATTTTCAAAACACACCTTTTGTGGAATATGCAAGTGGATTTTGGGACTTCTCTGAGAATTTCTTTGGAAACGGGATAAACCTCACGTAACTGAAGAGGAACATTCTCAGAACTTCTTGGTGATGTTGGCATTCAACTGACAGAGTTGAACCTTCCCTTGTGAGTTCAGGTTGAAACGCTCTTTTCGTAGTATCTGCAAGTGGAGGTTTGGAACGCTTTGAGGCCTACGGTAGTAAAGGAAACAGCTTCATGTAAAAACTGGACAGAAGCATTCTCAGAAAATACTTTGGGATGATTGAGTTCAACTCACAGAGCTGAACATTCCTTTGGGTGGAGCAGTTTTGAAACACACTTTTTGTAGACTCTGCAGGTGGATATTTGGACCTCTCTGAGGATTTCGTTGCAGAAGGGATAACGTCACCTAACTAAACAGAAGCTTTCGCAGAAACATCCTTCTGACGTTGGCCTTCAAAGTCCAGAGTTGAGCCTTCCTTTGGTAGTTCACGTTTGAAACACTCTTTTTGGAGGACCTGCAAGTGGATATTTGGAGCACATTGTGGCCTTCGTTCGAAACGGCTATATCTTCACATAAAATCTAGACAGAAGCCTTCTCAGAAACTTCTCTGTGACGATTGCACGCAACTCACAGAGTTGAACATTCCTTTTGATAGAGCAGTTTTGAAACTCTCTAGTTTTCCTGGCATCTGCAAATGGATAGGTGGAAATCTGTGAAGACTTCTTTGGAAACGGGAATATCCTCACGTAAAAAGTAAACAGAAGCATTCTCAGAAACTCCTTTGTGAGGCTTGTGTTCAACTCCCAGAGTATAACATTGCTTTTCATAGAGCAGTTTTGAAACATTCTTTTAGTAGAGCCTCCAAGTGGACATTTGGAGCGCTTTCAGGCCTGCGGTGGAAAAGGAAATATCTTCACATAAAAGCTAGAGAGAAGCATTGTCAGAAACTTCTTGGTGATGATTGCATTCAACTCACGGAGCTGAGGATTCCTTTTGATGCAGCAGTTTGGAAACACTCTTTCGGTGGAATCTGCAAGCGGATATGTGGACCTCTTTGAACATTTCTATGGAAAAGGGATAATCTTCCCGTAAAAGCTAAACGGAAGCATGCTCAGGAACTTCCTTGTGATGTTTGCATTCAACTCACAGAGTTGTACTTTCCTTCTGATAGAGCAGCTTTGAAACCCCCTCTTTCTAGCATCTGCAAGGGGACATTTGGAGGGCTTCGAGGCCGGGGGTGGAAAAGGAAATATCTTCTCATCAAAGCTACATGGAAGCATTCTCAGAAGCTGCTTTGTGATGATTGCATTCAAGTCACCGAGTTGAACATCCCCTTTGATGGGGCCGTTTGGAAACACACTTTTGGTAGAATCTGAAAGGGGAGATTTGGACCTCTTTGAGGCCTATGGCAGTAGAGGATATAACTGCACATAAAAGCGAGACAGGAATATTCCCAGGAAACGCTTTGTGACCATTGAGTTCAACTCACAGAGCCGAACATTCCTTTGGGTGGAGCAGTTTCCAAACACACTTTGTGTAGAATCTGCAAGTGGAGATTTGGACCGCTCTGAGGATTTCGTTGGATACGGGAGAAAAGTCACCTACATAAACAGAAGCATTCTCAGAACCTTCTTCGTGATGCTTGCATTCAACTCACAGTGTTGAACCTTTCTCTGACAGTTCAGGTTTGAAACACTCCTTCTGCAGAATCTGCAAGTGGAGATTTGGACCTCTTTGAGGCCTATCGTAGTAAAGGAAAGAACTTCAGCTAAAAACAAGACGGAAGCATTCTCAGAAAATTCTTTGCGATGATTGAGTTTAACTCACAGAGCTGAGCAGGTCTTTTGATGGAGCATTTTCAAAACACACGTTTTGTAGAATATGCAAGTGGATATTGGGACTTCTCTGAGAATTTCGTTGGAAACGGGATAAACCTCACATAACTGAAGAGGAACATTCTCAGAAGTTCTTGGTGATGTTGGCATTCAACTGGCAGAGTTGAACCTTCCCTTGTGAGTTCAGGTTGAAACGCTCTTTTCGTAGTATCTGCAAGTGGAGGTTTGGAACGCTTTGAGGCCTACGGTAGTAAAGGAAACAGCTTCATGTAAAAACTGGACAGAAGCATTCTCAGAAAATACTTTGGGATGATTGAGTTCAACTCACAGAGCTGAACATTCCTTTGGGTGGAGCAGTTTTGAAACACACTTTTTGTAGACTCTGCAGGTGGATATTTGGAACTCTCTGAGGATTTCGTTGGAAACGGGATAACGTCACCTAACTAAACAGAAGCTTTCGCAGAAACATCCTTCTGACGTTGGCATTCAAAGTCCAGAGTTGAGCCTTCCTTTGGTAGTTCACGTTTGAAACACTCTTTTTGGAGGACCTGCAAGTGGATATTGGGAGCACTTTGTGGCCTTCGTTCGAAACGGCCATATCTTCACATAAAATCTAGACAGAAGCCTTCTCAGAAACTTCTCTGTGATGATTGCATGCAACTCACAGAGTTGAACATTCCTTTTGATGGAGCAGTTTTGAAACTCTCTTTTGCTAGCATCTGCAAATGGGTAGGTGGAACTCTTTGAAGACTTCTTTGGAAACGGGAATATCCTCACGTAAAAAGTAAACAGAAGCATTCTCAGAAACTCCTTTGTGAGGCTTGTGTTCAACTCCCAGAGTATAACATTGCTTTTCATAGAGCAGTTTTGAAACATTCTTTTCGTAGTGCCTCCAAGTGGACATTTGGGTCACTTTGAGGCCTGCGTTGGAAAAGGAAATATCTTCACATAAAAACTAGAGAGACGCATTGTCAGAAACTTCTTGGTGATGATCGCACTCAACTCACGGAGCTGAGGATTCCTTTTGATGCAGCAGTTTGGAAACACTCTTTCGGTGGAATCTGCAAGCGGATATGTGGACCTCTTTGAACATTTCGATGGAAAAGGGATAATCTTCCCGTTAAAGCTAAACGGAAGCATGCTGAGGAACTTCCTTGTGATGTTTGCATTCAACTCACAGAGTTGTACTTTCCTTTTGATAGAGCAGCTTTGAAACCCCCTCTTTCTAGCATCTGCAAGGGGACATTTGGAGGGCTTCGAGGCCTGGGGAGGAAAAGGAAATATCTTCTCATCAAAGCTACATGGAAGCATTCTCAGAAACTGGTTTGTGATGATTGCATTCAAGTCACCGAGTTGAACATTCCCTTTGATGGAGCCGTTTGGAAACACACTTTTGGTAGAATCTG
This sequence comes from Homo sapiens, assembly GCF_000001405.40. Classification (NCBI taxonomy): domain Eukaryota; kingdom Metazoa; phylum Chordata; class Mammalia; order Primates; family Hominidae; genus Homo; species Homo sapiens. The sequence goes on from NC_000001.11 coordinate 122,109,477, forward strand.
AAAGGGGAGATTTGGATCGCTTTGAGGCCTATGGCAGTAGAGGATATAACTGCACATAAAAAGGAGACAGGGACCATCCCGGCTAAACGGTGAAACCCCGTCTCTACTAAAAATACAAAAAATTAGCCGGGCGTAGTGGCGGGCGCCTGTAGTCCCAGCTACTTGGGAGGCTGAGGCAGGAGAATGGCGTGAACCCGGGAGGCGGAGCTTGCAGTGAGCCGAGATGCCGCCACTGCACTCCAGCCTGGGCGACAGAGCGAGACTCCGTCTCAAAAAAAAAAAAAAAAAAAAAAAAAAAAAAAAAGAAAAGAGCGTTTCAACCTGAACTCACAAGGGAAGGTTCAACTCTGTCAGTTGAATGCCAACATCACCAAGAACTTCTGAGAATGTTCC
>NC_000001.11:122109969-122125244 GCF_000001405.40 Homo sapiens
AGCATTCTCAGAACCTTCTTCGTGATGCTTGCATTCAACTCACAGTGTTCAACCTTTCTCTGATAGTTCAGGTTTTAAACACTCCTTCTGCAGAATCTGCAAGTGGAGATTTGGACCTCTTTGAGGCCTATCGTAGTAAAGGATATAACCTCATCTAAAAACAAGACAGAAGCATTCTCAGAAAATTCTTTACGATGATTGAGTTTAACTCACAGAGCTGAGCATATCTTTTGATGGCGCATTTTCAAAACACACTTTTTGTAGAATATGCAAGTGGATTTTGGGACTTCTCAGAGAATTTCGTTGGAAACGCGATAAACCTCACATAACTGAAGAGGAACATTCTCAGAAATTCTTGGTGATGTTGGCATTCAACTGACAGAGTTGAACCTTCCCTTGTGAGTTCAGGTTGAAACGCTCTTTTCGTAGGATCTGCAAGTGGAGGTTTGGAACGCTTTGAGGCCTACGGTAGTAAAGGAAACAGCTTCATGTAAAAACTGGACAGAAGCATTCTCAGAAAATACTTCGGGACGATTGAGTTCAACTCACAGAGCTGAACATTCCTTTGGGTGGAGCAGTTTGGAAACACACTTTTTGTAGACTCCGCAGGTGGATATTTGGACCTCTCTGAGTATTTCGTTGGAAACGGGATAACGTCACCTAACTAAACAGAAGCTTTCGCAGAAACATCCTTCTGACGTTGGCCTTCAAAGTCCAGAGGTGAGCCTTCCTTTGGTAGTTCACGTTTGAAACACTCTTTTTGGAGGACCTGCAAGTGGATATTTGGAGCACTTTGTGGCCTTCGTTCGAAACGGCTATCTCTTCACGTAAAATCTAGACAGAAGCCTTCTCAGAAACTTCTCTGTGATGATTGCACGCAACTCACAGAGGTGAACATTCCTTTTGATAGAGCAGTTTTGAAACTCTCTAGTTTTGCTGGCATCTGCAAATGGATAGGTGGAACTCTGTGAAGACTTCTTTGGAAACGGGAATATCCCCACGTAAAAAGTAAACAGAAGCATTCTCAGAAACTCCTTTGTGGGGCTTGTGTTCAACTCCCAGAGTATAACATTGCTTTTCATAGAGCAGTTTTGAAACATTCTTTTCGTAGAGCATCCAGGTGGACATTTGGAGGGCTTTCAGGCCTGTGTTGGAAAAGGAAATATCTTCACATAAAAACTAGAGAGAAAGCATTGTCAGAAACTTCTTGGTGATGATTGCATTCAACTCACGGAGCTGAGGATTCCTTTTGATGCAGCAGTTTGGAAACACTCTTTCGGTGGAATCTGCAAGCGTATATGTGGACCTCTTTGAACATTTCGATGGAAAAGGGATAATCTTCCCGTAAAAGCTAAACGGAGCATGCTCAGGAACTTCCTTGTGATGTTTGCATTCAACTCACAGAGTTGTACTTTCCTTTTGATAGAGCAGCTTTGAAACCCCCTCTTTCTAGCATCTGCAAGGGGACATTTGGGGGGCTTCGAGGCCTGGGGTGGAAAAGGAAATATCTTCTCATCAGAGCTACATGGAAGCATTCTCAGAAGCTGCTTTGTGATGATTGCATTCAAGTCACCGAGTTGAACATCCCCTTGATGGGGCCGTTTGGAAACACACTTTTGGTAGAATCTGAAAGGGGAGATTTGGACCGCTTTGAGGCCTATGGCAGTAGAGGATATAACTGCACATAAAAGCGAGACAGGAGCATTCCCAGGAAACGCTTTGTGACCATTGAGTTCAACTCACAGAGCTGAACATTCCTTTGGGTGGAGCAGTTTCCAAACACACTTTGTGTAGAATCTGCAAGTGGAGATTTGGACCGCTCTGAGGATTTCGTTGGATACGGGAGAAAAGTCACCTACGTAAACAGAAGCATTCTCAGAACCTTCTTCGTGATGCTTGCATTCAACTCACAGTGTTGAACCTTTCTCTGACAGTTCAGGTTTGAAACACTCCTTCTGCAGAATCTGCAAGTGGAGATTTGGACCTCTTTGAGGCCTATCGTAGTAAAGGAAAGAACTTCATCTAAAAACAAGACGGAAGCATTCTCAGAAAATTCTTTGCGATGATTGAGTTTAACTCACAGAGCAGAGCAGGTCTTTTGATGGAGCATTTTCAAAACACACGTTTTGTAGAATATGCAAGTGGATATTGGGACTTCTCTGAGAATTTCGTTGGAAAAGGGATAAACCTCACGTAACTGAAGAGGAACATTCTCAGAACTTCTTTGTGATGTTGACATTCAACTGACAGAGGTGAACCTTCCCTTGTGAGTTCAGGTTGAAACGCTCCTTTCGTAGCATCTGCAAGTGGAGATTTGGAACGCTATGAGGCCTACGGTAGTAAAGGAAACAGCTTCATGTAAAAACTGGACAGAAGCATTCTCAGAAAATACTTTGGGATGATTGAGTTCAACTCACAGAGCTGAACATTCCTTTGGGTGGAGCAGTTTTGAAGCACACTTTTTGTAGACTCTGCAGGTGGATATTTGGACCTCTCTGAGGATTTCGTTGGAAACGGGATAACGTCGCCTAACTAAACAGAAGCTTTCGCAGAAACATCCTTCTGACGTTGGCATTCAAAGTCCAGAGTTGAGCCTTCCTTTGGTAGTTCACGTTTGAAACACTCTTTTTGGAGGACCTGCAAGTGGATATTTGGAGCACTTTGTGGCCTTCGTTCGAAACGGCTATATCTTCACATAAAATCTAGACAGAAGCCTTCTCAGAAACTTCTCTGTGATGATTGCATGCAATTCACAGAGTTGAACATTCCTTTTGATAGAGCAGTTTTGAAACTCTCTTTTGCTAGCATCTGCAAATGGATAGGTGGAACTCTGTGAAGACTTCTTTGGAAACGGGAATATCCTCACGTAAAAAGTAAACAGAAGCATTCTCAGAAACTCCTTTGTGAGGCTTGTGTTCAACTGCCAGAGTATAACATTGCTTTTCATAGAGCAGTTTTGAAACATTCTTTTCGTAGAGCCTCCAAGTGGACATTTGGAGCGCTTTCAGGCCTGCGGTGGAAAAGGAAATATACTTCACATAAAAGCTAGAGAGAAAGCATTGTCAGAAACTTCTTGGTGATGATTGCATTCAACTCACGGAGCTGAGGATTCCTTTTGATGCAGCAGTTTGGAAACACTCTTTCGGTGGAATCTGCAAGCAGATATGTGGACCTCTTTGAACATTTCGATGGAAAAGGGATAATCTTCCCGTAAAAGCTAAACGGAAGCATGCTCAGGAACTTCTTTGTGATGTTTGCATTCAACTCGCAGAGTTGTACTTTCCTTTTGATAGAGCAGCTTTGAAACCCTCTCTTTCTAGCATCTGCAAGGGGACATTTGGAGGGCTTCGAGTCCTGGGGTGGAAAAGGAAATATCTTCTCATCAAAGCTACATGGAAGCATTCTCAGAAGCTGCTTTGTGATGATTGCATTCAAGTCACCGAGTTGAACATCCCCTTTGATGGGGCCGTTTGGAAACACACTTTTGGTAGAATCTGAAAGGGGAGATTTGGACCGCTTTGAGGCCTATGGCAGTAGAGGATATAACTGCACATAAAAGCGAGACAGGAGCATTCCCAGGAAACGCTTTGTGACGATTGAGTTCAACTCACAGAGCTGAACATTCCTTTGGGTGGAGCAGTTTCCAAACACACTTTGTGTAGAATCTGCAAGTGGAGATTTGGACCGCTCTGAGGATTTCGTTGGATACGGGAGAAAACTCACCTACGTAAACAGAAGCATTCTCAGAACCTTCTTCGTGATGCTTGCATTCAACTCACAGTATTGAACCTTTCTCTGACAGTTCAGGTTTGAAACACTCCTTCTGCAGAATCTGCAAGTGGAGATTTGGAACTCTTTGAGGCCTATCGTAGTAAAGGAAAGAACTTCATCTAAAAACAAGACGGAAGCATTCTCAGAAAATTCTTTGCGATGATTGAGTTTAACTCACAGAGCTGAGCCTATCTTTTGATGGCGCATTTTCAAAACACACCTTTTGTAGAATATGCAAGTGGATTTTGGGACTTCTCTGAGAATTTCGTTGGAAACGGGATAAACCTCACATAACTGAAGAGGAACATTCTCAGAAGTTCTTGGTAACGTTGGCATTCAACTGACAGAGTTGAACCTTCCCTTGTGAGTTCAGGTTGAAACGCTCTTTTCGTAGTATCTGCAAGTGGAGGTTTGGAACGCTTTGAGGCCTACAGTAGTAAAGGAAACAGCTTCATGTAAAAACTGGACAGAAGCCTTCTCAGAAAATACTTTGGGATGATTGAGTTCAACTCACAGAGCTGAACATTCCTTTGGGTGGAGCAGTTTTGAAACACACTTTTTGTAGACTCTGCAGGTGGATATTTGGACCTCTCTGAGGATTTCGTTGGAAACGGGATAACGTCACCTAACTAAACAGAGGCTTTCGCGGAAACATCTTTCTGACGTTGGCATTCAAAGTCCACAGTTGAGCCTTCCTTTGGTAGTTCACGTTTGAAACACTCTTTTTGGAGGACCTGCAAGTGGATATTGGAGCACTTTGTGGCCTTCGTTCGAAACGGCTATATCTTCACATAAAATCTAGACAGAAGCCTTCTCAGAAACTTCTCTGTGATGATTGCATGCAACTCACAGAGTTGAACATTCCTTTTGATAGAGCAGTTTTGAAACTCTCTTTTGCTAGCATCTGCAAATGGATAGGTGGAACTCTGTGAAGACTTCTTTGGAAACGGGAATATCCTCACGTAAAAAGTAAACAGAAGCATTCTCAGAAACTCCTTTGTGAGGCTTGTGTTCAACTCCCAGAGTATAACATTGCTTTTCATGGAGCAGTTTTGAAACATTCTTTTCGTAGAGCCTCCAAGTGGACATTTGGAGCGCTTTCAGGCCTGTGGTGGATAAGGAAATATCTTCACATAAAAACTAGAGAGAAGCATTCTCAGAAACTTCTTGGTGATGATTGCATTCAACTCACGGAGCTGAGGATTCCTTTTGATGCAGCAGTTTGGAAACACTCTTTCGGTGGAATCTGCAAGCGGATATGTAGACCTCTTTGAACATTCCGATGGAAAAGGGATAATCTTCCCGTAAAAGCTAAACGGAAGCATGCTCAGGAACTTCTTTGTGATGTTTGCATTCAACTCGCAGAGTTGTACTTTCCTTTTGATAGAGCAGCTTTGAAACCCTCTCTTTCTAGCATCTGCAAGGGGACATTTGGAGGGCTTCGAGGCCTGGGGTGGAAAAGGAAATATCTTCTCATGAAAGCTACATGGAAGCATTCTCAGAAGCTGCTTTGTGATGATTGCTTTCAAGTCACCGAGCTGAACATTCCCTTTGATGGAGCCGTTTGGAAACACACTTTCGGTAGAATCTGAAAGGGGAGATTTGGACCGCTTTGAGGCCTATGGCAGTAGAGGATAAAACTGCACATAAAAACGAGACAGTAGCATTCCCAGGAAACACTTTGTGACGATAGAGTTCAACTCACGGAGCTGAACATTGCTTTGGATGGAGCAGTTTCCAAACACACTTTGTGTAGAATCTGCAAGTGGAGATTCGGACCGCACTGAGGATTTCGTTGGATATGGGAGAGAACTCACCTATGTAAACGGAAGCATTCTCAGAACCTTCTTCGTGATGCTTGCCTTCAACTCACAGTGTTGAACCTTTCTCTGACAGTTCAGGTTTGAAACACTCCTTCTGCAGAATCTGCAAGTGGAGATTTGGACCTCTTTGAGGCCTGTCGTAGTAAAGGAAAGAACTTCATCTAAAAACAAGACAGAAGCATTCTCAGAAAATTCTTTGTGATGATTGAGTTGAACTCACAGAGCTGAGCATATCTTTTGATGGCGCATTTTCAAAACACACCTTTTGTGGAATATGCAAGTGGTTTTTGGGACTTCTCTGAGAATTTCGTTGGAAACGGGATAAAACTCACATAACTGAAGAGGAACATTCTCAGAAGTTCTTGGTGATGTTGGCATTCAACTGACAGAGTTGAACCTTCCCTTGTGAGTTCAGGTTGAAACGCTCTTTTCGTAGTATCTGCAAGTGGAGGTTTGGAACGCTTTGAGGCCTACGGTAGTAAAGGAAACAGCTTCATGTAAAAACTGGACAGAAGCATTCTCAGAAAATACTTTGGGATGATTGAGTTCAACTCACAGAGCTGAACATTCCTTTGGGTGGAGCAGTTTTGAAACACGCTTTTTGTAGACTCTGCAGTTGGATATTTGGACCTCTCTGAGGATTTCGTTGGAAACGGGATAACGTCACCTAACTAAACAGAAGCTTTCGCAGAAACATCCTTCTGACGTTGGCATTCAAAGTCCAGAGTTGAGCCTTCCTTTGGTAGTTCACGTTTGAAACACTCTTTTTGGAGGACCTGCAAGTGGATATTTGGAGCACTTTGTGGCCTTCGTTCGAAACGGCTATATCTTCACATAAAATCTAGACAGAAGCCTTCTCAGAAACTTCTCTGTGATGATTGCATGCAACTCACAGAGTTGAACATTCCTTTTGATAGAGCAGTTTTGAAACTCTCTTTTGCTAGCATCTGCAAATGGATAGGTGGAACTCTGTGAAGACTTCTTTGGAAACGGGAATATCCTCACGTAAAAAGTAAACAGAAGCATTCTCAGAAACTCCTTTGTGAGGCTTGTGTTCAACTCCCAGAGTATAACATTGCTTTTCATAGAGCAGTTTTGAAACATTCTTTTCGTAGAGCCTCCAAGTGGACATTTGGAGCGCTTTCAGGCCTGCGGTGGAAAAGGAAATATCTTCACATAAAAACTAGAGAGAAGCATTGTCAGAAACTTCTTGGTGATGATTGCATTCAACTCACGGAGCTGAGGATTCCTTTTGATGCAGCAGTTTGGAAACACTCTATCGGTGGAATCTGCAAGCAGATATGTGGACCTCTTTGAACATTTCGATGGAAAAGGGATAATCTTCCCGTAAAAGCTAAACGGAAGCTTGCTCAGGAACTTCTTTGTGATGTTTGCATTCAACTCGCAGAGTTGTACTTTCCTTTTGATAGAGCAGCTTTGAAACCCTCTCTTTCTAGCATCTGCAAGGGGACATTTGGAGGGCTTCGAGGCCTGGGGTGGAAAAGGAAATATCTTCTCATGAAAGCTACATGGAAACATTCTCAGAAGCTGCTTTGAGATGATTGCATTCAAGTCACCGTGTTGAACATTCCCTTTGATGGAGCCGTTTGGAAACACACTTTTGGTAGAATCTGAAAGGGGAGATTTGGACCGCTTTGAGGCCTATGGCAGTAGAGGATATAACTGCACATAAAAACGAGACAGGAGCATTCCCAGGGAAACAGCTTTGTGACGATTGAGTTCAACTCACAGAGCTGAACATTCCTTTGGATGGAGCAGTTTCCAAACACACTTTGTGTAGAATCTGCAAGTGGAGATTTGCACCGCTCTGAGGATTTCGTTGGATACGGGAGAGAAGTCACCTACGTAAACAGAAGCATTCTCAGAACCTTCTTCATGATGCTTGCATTCAACACACAGTGTTGAACCTTTCTCTGATAGTTCAGGTTTGAAACACTCCTTCTGCAGAATCTGCAAGTGGAGATTTGGACCTCTTTGAGGCCTGTCGCAGTAAAGGAAAGAACTTCATCTAAAAACAAGACAGAAGCATTCTCAGAAAATTCTTTGCGATGATTGAGTTTAACTCACAGAGCTCAGCAAATCTTTTGATGGCGCATTTTCAAAACACTCCTTTTGTAGAATATGCAAGTGGATATTGGGACTTCTCTGAGAATTTCGTTAGAAACGGGATAAACCTCACATAACTGAAGAGGAACATTCTCAGAACTTCTTTGTGATGTTGACATTCAACTGACAAGTGGTGAACCTTCCCTTGTGAGTTCAGGTTGAAACGCTCCTTTCGTAGCATCTGCAAGTGGAAATTTGGAACGCTTTGAGGCCTACGGTAGTAAAGGAAACAGCTTCATGTAAAAACTGGACAGAAGCATTCTCAGAAAATACTTTGGGATGATTGAGTTCAACTCACAGAGCTGAACATTCCTTTGGGTGGAGCAGTTTTGAAACACACTTTTTGTAGACTCTGCAGGTGGATATTTGGACCTCTCTGAGGATTTCGTTGGAAACGGGATAACGTCACCTAACAAAACAGAAGCTTTCGCAGGAACATCTCTCTGACGTTGGCATTCAAAGTCCACAGTTGAGCCTTCCTTTGGTAGTTCACGTTTGAAACACTCTTTTTGGAGGACCTGCAAGTGGATATTTGGAGCACTTTGTGGCCTTCGTTCGAAACGGCTATATCTTCACATAAAATCTAGACAGAAGCCTTCTCAGAAACTTCTCTGTGATGATTGCATGCAACTCACAGAGTTGAACATTCCTTTTGATAGAGCAGTTTTGAAACTCTCTTTTGCTAGCATCTGCAAATGGATAGGTGGAACTCTGTGGAGACTTCTTTGGAAACGGGAATATCCTCACGTAAAAAGTAAACAGAAGCATTCTCAGAAACTCCTTTGTGAGGCTTGTGTTCAACTCCCAGAGTATAACATTGCTTTTCATAGAGCAGTTTTGAAACATTCTTTTCGTAGAGCCTCCAAGTGGACATTTGGAGCGCTTTCAGGCCTGCGGTGGAAAAGGAAATATCTTCACATAAAAGCTAGAGAGAAGCATTGTCAGAAACTTCTTGGTGATGATTGCATTCAACTCACGGAGCTGAGGATTCCTTTTGATGCAGCAGTTTGGAAACACTCTTTCGGTGGAATCTGCAAGCGGATATGTGGACCTCTTTGACCATTTCGATGGAAAAGGGATAATCTTCCCATAAAAGCTAAACGGAAGCATGCTCAGGAACTTCCTTGTGATGTTTGCATTCAACTCACAGAGTTGTACTTTCCTTCTGATAGAGCAGCTTTGAAACCCCCTCTTTCTAGCATCTGCAAGGGGACATTTGGAGGGCTTCGTGGCCTGGCGTGGAAAAGGAAATATCTTCTCATCAAAGCTACATGGAAGCATTCTCAGAAGCTGCTTCGGGATGATTGCATTCAAGTCACCGAATTGAATATCCCCTTTGATGGGGCCGTGTGGAAACACACTTTTGGTAGAATCTGAAAGGGGAGATTTGGACCGCTTTGAGGCCTATGGCAGTAGAGGATATTACTGCACATAAAAGCGAGACAGGAGCATTCCCAGGAAACACTTTGTGACGATTGAGTTCAACTCACAGAGCTGAACATTCCTTTGGATGGAGCAGTTTCCAAACACACTTTGTGTAGAATCTGCAAGTGGAGATTAGGACCGCTCTGAGGATTTCGTTGGATACGGGACAAAACTCACCTACGTAAACAGAAGCATTCTCAGAACCTTCTTCGTGATGCTTGCATTCAACTCACAGTGTTGAACCTTTCTCTGACAGTTCAGGTTTGAAACACTCCTTCTGCAGAATCTGCAAGTGGAGATTTGGACCTCTTTGAGGCCTATCGTAGTAAAGGAAAGAACTTCATCTAAAAACAAGACAGAAGCATTCTCAGAAAATTCTTTGCGATGATTGAGTTTAACTCACAGAGCTTAGCATATCTTTTGATGGCGCATTTTCAAGACACACCTTTTGTAGAATATGCAAGTGGATTTTGGGACTTCTCTGAGAATTTCGTTGGAAACGGGATAAACCTCACATAACTGAAGAGGAACATTCTCAGAAGTTCTTGGTGATGTTGGCATTCAACTGACAGAGTTGAAACTTCCCTTGTGAGTTCAGGTTGAAACGCTCTTTTCGTAGTATCTGCAAGTGGAGGTTTGGAACGCTTTGAGGCCTACGGTAGTAAAGGAAACAGCTTCATGTAAAAACTGGACAGAAGCATTCTCAGAAAATACTTTGGGATGATTGAGTTCAACTCACAGAGCTGAACATTCCTTTGGGTGGAGCAGTTTTGAAACACACTTTTTGTAGACTCTGCAGGTGGATATTTGGACCTCTCTGAGGATTTCGTTGGAAACGGGATAACGTCACCTAACAAAACAGAAGGTTTCGTAGAAACATCCTTCTGACGTTGGCCTTCAAAGTCCAGAGTTGAGCCTTCCTTTGGTAGTTCACGTTTGAAACACTCTTTTTGGAGGACCTGCAAGTGGATATTTGGAGCACTTTGTGGCCTTCGTTCGAAACGGCTATATCTTCATGTAAAATCTAGACAGAAGCCTTCTCAGAAACTTCTCTGTGATGATTGCATGCAAGTCACAGAGTTGAACATTCCTTTTGATGGAGCAGTTTTGAAACTCTCTTTTGCTAACATCTGCAAATGGATAGGTGGAACTCTGTGAAGACTTCTTTGGAAACGGGAATATCCTCACGTAAAAAGTAAACAGAAGCATTCTCAGAAACTCCTTTGTGAGTCTTGTGTTCAACTCCCAGAGTATAACATTGCTTTTCATAGAGCAGTTTTGAAACATTCTTTTCGTAGAGCCTCCAAGTGGACATTTGGAGCGCTTTCAGGCCTGCGGTGGAAAAGGAAATATCTTCACATAAAAACTAGAGAGAAGCATTGTCAGAAACTTCTTGGTGATGATTGCATTCAACTCACGGAGCTGAGGATTCCTTTGGATGCAGCAGTTTGGAAACACTCTTTCGGTGGAATCTGCAAACGGATATGTGGACCTCTTTGAACATTTCGATGGAAAAGGGATAATCTTCCCGTAAAAGCTAAACGGAAGCATGCTCAGGAACTTCCTTGTGATGTTTGCATTCAACTCACAGAGTTGTACTTTCCTTTTGATAGAGCAGCTTTGAAACCCCCTCTTTCTAGCATCTGCAAGGGGACATTTGGAGGGCTTCGAGGCCTGGGGTGGAAAAGGAAATATCTTCTCATCAAAGCTACATGGAAGCATTCTCAGAAGCTGCTTTGTGATGATTGCATTCAAGTCACCGAGTTGAACATCCCCTTTGATGGGGCCGTTTGGAAACACACTTTTGGTAGAATCTGAAAGGGGAGATTTGGACCGCTTTGAGGCCTATGGCAGTAGAGGATATAACTGCACATAAAAGCGAGACAGGAGCATTCCCAGGAAACGCTTTGTGACGATTGAGTTCAACTCACAGAGCTGAACATTCCTTTGGGTGAAGCAGTTTCCAAACACACTTTGTGTAGAATCTGCAAGTGGAGATTTGGACCGCTCTGAGGATTTCGTTGGATACGGGAGAAAAGTCACCTACGTAAACAGAAGCATTCTCAGTAACCTTCTTCGTGATGTTTGCATTCAACTCACAGTGTTGAACCTTTCTCTGACAGTTCAGGTTTGAAACACTCCTTCTGCAGAATCTGCCAGTGGAGATTTGGACCTCTTTGAGGCCTGTGGTAGTAAAGGAAAGAACTTCATCTAAAAACAAGACGGAAGCATTCTCAGAAAATTCTTTGCGATGATTGAGTTTAACTCACAGAGCTGAGCATATCTTTTGATGGCGCATTTTCCAAACACACCTTTTGTGGAATATGCAAGTGGATTTAGGGACTTCTCTGAGAATTTCGTGGGAAACGGGATAAACCTCACATAACTGAAGAGGAACATTCTCAGAACTTCTTGGTGATGTTGGCATTCAACTGACAGAGTTGAACCTTCCCTTGTGAGTTCAGGTTGAAACGCTCTTTTCGTAGTATCTGCAAGTGGAGGTTTGGAACGCTTTGAGGCCTACGGTAGTAAAGGAAACAGCTTCATGTAAAAACTGGACAGAAGCATTCTCAGAAAATACTTTGGGATGATTGAGTTCAACTCACAGAGCTGAACATTCCTTTGGGTGGAGCAGTTTTGAAACACACTTTTTGTAGACTCTGCAGGTGGATATTTGGACCTCTCTGAGGATTTCGTTGCAGAAGGGATAACGTCACCTAACTAAACAGAAGTTTTCGCAGAAACATCCTTCTGACGTTGGCATTCAAAGTCCAGAGTTGAGCCTTCCTTTGGTAGTTCACGTTTGAAACACTCTCTTTCGAGGACCTGCAAGTGGATATTTGGAGCACTTTGTGGCCTTCGTTCGAAACGGCCATATCTTCACATAAAATCTAGACAGAAGCCTTCTCAGAAACTTCTCTGTGATGATTGCATGCAACTCACAGAGTTAAACATTCCTTTTGATGGAGCAGTTTTGAAACTCTCTTTTGCTAGCATCTGCAAATGTATAGGTGGAACTCTGTGAAGACTTCTTTGGAAACGGGAATATCCTCACGTAAAAAGTAAACAGAAGCATTCTCAGAAACTCCTTTGTGAGGCTTGTGTTCAACTCCCAGAGTATAACATTGCTTTTCATGGAGCAGTTTTGAAACATTCTTTTCGTAGAGCCTCCAAGTGGACATTTGGAGCGCTTTCAGGCCTGTGGTGGATAAGGAAATATCTTCACATAAAAACTAGAGAGAAGCATTCTCAGAATCCTCTTGGTGATGATTGCATTCAACTCACGGAGCTGAGGATTCCTTTTGATGCAGCAGTTTGGAAACACTCTTTCGGTGGAATCTGCAAGCGGATATGTGGACCTCTTTGAACATTCTGATGGAAAAGGGATAATCTTCCCGTAAAAGCTAAACAGAAGCATGCTCAGGAACTTCCTTGTGATGTTTGCATTCAACTCACAGAGTTGTACTTTCCTTTTGATAGAGCAGCTTTGAAACCCCCTCTTTCTAGCATCTGCAAGGGGACATTTGGAGGGCTTCGAGGCCTGGGGTGGAAAAGGAAATATCTTCTCATCAAAGCTACATGGAAGCATTCTCAGAAGCTGCTTTGTGATGATTGCATTCAAGTCACCGAGTTGAACATCCCCTTTGATGGGGCCGTTTGGAAACACACTTTTGGTAGAATCTGAAAGGGGAGATTTGGACCGCTTTGAGACCTATGGCAGTAAAGGATATAACTGCACATAAAAGCGAGACAGGAGCATTCCCAGGAAACGCTTTGTGACCATTGAGTTCAACTCACAGAGCTGAACATTCCTTTGGGTGGAGCAGTTTCCAAACACACTTTGTGTAGAATCTGCAAGTGGAGATTTGGACCGCTCTGAGGATTTCGTTGGATAAGGGAGAAAAGTCACCTACGTAAACAGAAGCATTCTCAGAACCTTCTTCGTGATGCTTGCATTCAACTCACAGTGTTGAACCTTTCTCTGACAGTTCAGGTTTGAAACACTCCTTCTGCAGAATCTGCAAGTGGAGATTTGGACCTCTTTGAGGCCTATCGTAGTAAAGGAAAGAACTTCATCTAAAAACAAGACGGAAGCACTCTCAGAAAATTCTTTGCGATGATTGAGTTTAACTCACAGAGCTGAGCATATCTTCTCATGGCTCAATTTCCAAACACACCTTTTGTGGAATATGCAAGTGGATTTTGGGACTTCTCTGAGAATTTCGTTGGAAACGGGATAAACCTCACATAACTGAAGAGGACATTCTCAGAAGTTCTTGGTGATGTTGGCATTCAACTGGCAGAGTTGAACCTTCCCTTGTGAGTTCAGGTTGAAACGCTCTTTTCGTAGTATCTGCAAGTGGAGGTTTGGAATGCTTTGAGGCCTACGGTAGTAAAGGAAACAGCTTCATGTAAAAACTGGACAGAAGCATTCTCAGAAAATACTTTGGGATGATTGAGTTCAACTCACAGAGCTGAACATTCCTTTGGGTGGAGCAGTTTTGAAACACACTTTTTGTAGACTCTGCAGGTGGATATTTGGACCTCTCTGAGGATTTCGTTGCAGACGGGATAACGTCACCTAACTAAACAGAAGCTTCCGCAGAAACATCCTTCTGACGTTGGCCTTCAAAGTCCCGAGTTGAGCCTTCCTTTGGTAGTTCACGTTTGAAACACTCTTTTTGGAGGACCTGCAAGTGGATATTTGGAGCACTTTGTGGCCTTCGTTCGAAACGGCTATATCTTCACATAAAATCTAGACAGAAGCCTTCTCAGAATCTTCTCTGTGATGATTGCCCGCAACTCACAGAGTTGAACATTCCTTTTGATAGAGCAGTTTTGAAACTCTCTAGTTTTCCTGGCATCTGCAAATGGATAGGTGGAACTCTGTGAAGACTTCTTTGGAAACGGGAATATCCTCACGTAAAAAGTAAACAGAAGCATTCTCAGAAACTCCTTTGTGAGGCTTGTGTTCAACTCCCAGAGTATAACATTGCTTTTCATAGAGCAGTTTTGAAACATTCTTTTCGTAGAGCCTCCAAGTGGACATTTGGAGCGCTTTCAGGCCTGCGGTGGAAAAGGAAATATCTTCACATAAAAGCTAGAGAGAAGCATTGTCAGAAACTTCTTGGTGATGATTGCATTCAACTCACGGAGCTGAGGATTCCTTTTGATGCAGCAGGTTGGAAACACTCTTTCGGTGGAATCTGCAAGCGGATATGTGGACCTCATTGAACATTGCGATGGAAAAGGGATAATCTTCCCGTAAAAGCTAAACGGAAGCATGCTCAGGAACTTCTTTGTGATGTTTGCATTCAACTCGCAGTGTTGTACTTTCCTTTTGATAGAGCAGCTTTGAAACCCTCCCTTTCTAGCATCTGCAAGGGGACATTTGGAGGGCTTCGAGGCCTGGGGTGGAAAAGGAAATATCTTCTCATCAAAGATACATGGAAGCATTCTCAGAAACTGCTGTGTGATGATTGCTTTCAAGTCACCGAGTTGAACATTCCCTTTGATGGAGCCGTTTGGAAACACACTTTTGGTAGAATCTGAAAGGGGAGATTTGGACCGCTTTGAGGCCTATGGCAGTAGAGGATATAACTGCACATAAAAACGAGACAGTAGCATTCCCAGGAAACACTTTGTGACGATTGAGTTCAACTCACGGAGCTGAACATTCCTTTGGATGGAGCAGTTTCCAAACACACTTTGTGTAGAATCTGCAAGTGGAGATTCGGACCGCTCTGAGGATTTCGTTGGATACGGGAGAGAACTCACCTACGTAAACAGAAGCATTCTCAGAACCTTCTTCGTGATGCTTGCATTCAACTCACAGTGTTGAACCTTCCTCTGATGGTTCAGGTTTGAAACACTCCTTCTGCAGAATCTGCAAGTGGAGATTTGGACCTCTTTGAGGCCTGTCGTAGTAAAGGAAAGAACTTCATCTAAAAACAAGACAGAATCATTCTCAGAAAATTGTTTGCGATGATTGAGTTTAACTCACAGAGCTGAGCATATCTTTTGATGGCGCTTTTTCCAAACACACCTTTTGTGGAATATGCAAGTGGATTTTTGGACTTCTCTGAGAATTTCGTTGGAAACGGGATAAACCTCACATAACTGAAGAGG